>NC_000006.12:12787272-12938787 GCF_000001405.40 Homo sapiens | reverse complement strand
TAAAATTGTAGAAAATGTAGGCTAGTCGATAGCAACAGAATGCAGATCCTTGTTGCTTGGAGATGGGAGTCTGGGGAGGGGATGAAAAAGAAGCAGGAGGAAGCTTTTGGGAGTGAGGGATATGTTCATTATCTTGATTGTGATGGTTTCATGGGTGTATATATATGTTAAAAGCTTTCAAATTATATGCCTGAAATATGTGAAGTTTATTATATACCAAATTATACCTTATTTTAGCTGTTCCAAAAAATAAAAACTAGAAACACCAGATAGGGCTTGGTGTTGAAAAACCAGATGGGGCCATGCCGTGTTATTGTCATTGTTATTATTGTCATCGTGTGGTGCTATTGCTGATGGTGTGCACGGGTTTGTGCTCCTCTATGATTCCATGCAGCTAGCCTAACATAGAGAGGTGGCTGGGCAGAAAGAAGACCTGGAATCAATTAGCTTGGTGAAGGCAAATCTCATTTTTTCCTGGCTCTGTAGGTTTCACTATGCACTATCTGTGTAACCTTTGGTGAGTTATAAACATCATCTGAAAAACAGTAGGACAGGAAATAACAATTCTTACCTCATGAAGTTGCCTTGAGGATGAAATAAGTTAATGTTTGTTAGGTGCTTAATAAAAGTTAACTTATATTATTATTTTCCCAGAACACCGAGAAAGGATTCTGTTTTGTTTGTTTTTCAGACTGAGTCTCACTCTGTTTCCCAGGCTGGAGTGCAGTGGCGTGACCTCGGCCCACTGCAACCTCCACCTCCTAGGTTCAAGTAATTCTCATGCATCAGCCTCCCGAGTAGCTGGGATTACAGGCATGTGCTACCATGCCTGGCTACTTTTTGTATTTTTAGTAGGGATGGGATTTCACGTGTTGGCCATGCTGGTCTTGAACTCCTGACCTCAAGTGATCAGCATGCCTCTGCCTCCCAAAGTGCTGGGATTATAGGCCTGAGCCACGGAGCCCAGCCAGGATTCTGTTTTATCTTTTGCATTGCATTGTGTTTTCATAAAATTTAAGTTCATCAGTCTATTTAAAGAATATTAACATAAAGCAATTCATACAGGTTTCCAGATTGCTACTCAGCACCCTCTCTGGGAGCTTTTGTTCTGCCCACACTCTCTAAAATAGTAGCCCTTTCCCAGTCACTCTTTAGACCTTGCCCCTGTTTTATCTTTCTTCATAACTCTTACCGCCACCTGACATATTATATATTTGCTTGTTTATTTGTTTACTCTCTATATCCCTCCCCTGGAACATAAGCCCTCTGAGGCTAGGGACTTTGTCTGTTTGGCTCACTGAAATATAAAATTCACTCAATCAGAGGCAGGAGAATTGCTTGAACCCAGGAGGTGGAGGTTGCAGTGAGCTGAGATTGCGCCATTGCACTCCAGCTGGGCAACAAAAGTGAAACTCCGTCAAAAAAAAAAAATCCACTCAATTAGTATGTGTTGGGTGTTGAATAAATGAATGACTGCATTATCTTCAAGGGCCTTCCTTTGAGATGGTGGCAGTGTGGTTGTGGCCATTTTTATTATTGTCTTTGTGTGGTTCTGTTGCTGAAGGTGACCACGTGTTTATGCACCCCTATGATTCCATGCAGCTAGCCTAACACAGAAAGGTGGCTGGGCAGAAAAAAAGACCTGAAATCGGTTAGATCAGTGAAGTCTTAATCTCATTTTATTCCTGGCTCTGTGGGAGTAAGAGACTGCATAGGCTGAATAAGATATTTGAGAAAATAAGACCGGGGCCTGAAACTGTTCCTTAAATGATAAACAAAGAACAGAAATCTTAAGTTTTGGAAACTTGGAAATACATTGGCTCTGATGTGACTCATCCTCAGACACTTTAAAAAAATAGTCAATGAGAAAAAAGACTGAAAGGAAGTTAAGTCTAGGGCAAAAAGTCATCCCAGGCCTCCAGTGGCCCTCGAAACTGCAGCCAATTTGTTCTGTTTTGGGTTACTCAAGACTTACCACAACTGTCTTTTTGCCTTCTTTTTAATTTTGTGAATGCAAATTACATGCCTAAATCTCAAAGGAGCTAATTCTTGACCTGCTTGCAGTCTCCTGCCTTGTCCTCCTGCTGCCGCATTTCCTATAGATGCTATTTCTTCAAGTTTGTTGCTTTAGGAAAAATGTGAAAAGTGCATTAATGCACCAAAACAATATCCTATGGAACATGTGCTTGGATCTAAAATTGTATTGCCATCAATCCTCATGTGAGTGTAACACACTCAGATGTAAACAGTCACTTAAATTATTCTACCTTGAACCTTCTCCTTAGCAATCTGCAAACAACGCCATATAAATGAGTGGCAAGTGTTTCAGTGCGTACAAAAGACTTCCTGAGTTAGCATTTGTCATCTTTTATGTTTTAATTATCTCATTTGATTTCTTTATTGTTGCAATTACATTCTAATTTTGTGTGCAGACACTTCAGTGCCTCAGGCTAGATTAATCAATTAATATTAAAATTATTATTATACTGGTATAGATAAGTGGATAGGTGGCTAGCACAACTCCAGATCCATGTTTGATTCTGAATAAAGAAATTCTAGCTGTGGAAAATTACTTTAGACTACTTTGAAGTGAAAAATGAGACTCTTCCTAAAATCCTAAAGTAACATAAGGGATTTGGATGGATTTTGTTTGTTTTGGTGCTATATCAACACTCATTGTTTGTTGCAAATATGTATATATCTTCAAGAGGGCAACAAGATTATCTGTTTTTTTTTTTTTAATGACACTCAAGCTGAAATCATTAGGCAGTAGCCTTGATCAAAAGCTCTAGGTGAGCAGGGAGTTTGAGTAGGTTGTGAGAACATTAGGTTTCAGACAAAATGAGAAAACATACCTCCCAGCCATGAGATGACTGCCCGGTTCAATGCACAGGACTAACAGATTTTTCAGGAGTCTATGCTTGCATGCACACAGGCTCACAGCTCCCACGAGTGAAGGGCCAAACACAGAACCCAGCTAGTCCTTGGGGCTTTGCAAAAACCATGTGGTTAGATGGAAATACAATAAGAAAGAAAGGGCCCTAGGTTCTTCATGAGTCTCAGGAAAGAATCCCTTCCTCCAGGTTACTGCTCCCCTACCACACTACCCCAAAACCCCAAAACATACATTTACATACACACATACACACACACACACACGTGGGCATACCATAAATAACATACTATGTCACTGTCTGAGATGCTATTTTCTTTGTCTGAACTTCTTTGTTATAACATCAGTGTAGGCCAGGTGCAGTAGCTCATGCCTATAATCCCAGCACTTTGGGAGGCCGAGGCAGGCAGATCACTTGAGGTCAAAAGTTCGAGACCAGCCTGGTCAACATGGTGAAACCCCATTTCTACTAAAAATACAAAAATTAGCTGGGTGTGGTGTTGGGCGCCTATAATCCCAGCTACTCGGGAGGCTGAGGCAGGAGAATCGCTTGAATCAGGGAGGGAGAGGTTGCAGTGAGCCGAGATTGTACTACTGCACTCCAGCCTGGGTGACAGAGTGAGACTCGGTCTTAAAAAAATAAAAATAAAAATAAAATAACATCAGTGTATAAGTTACATCATACTTTTGGTCCTTGTTTGTTCTTCACACCGTGGAGGTGTTTGGTTCACACATTAAATTATAGGCTCTTAGAATATAGTAATAGCAACTGGTAATATTTATTGAGCTTTGCTATGGCCCCCCACAGTGTCTATTATCTCATTTAATCCTCACAGCAACCATATGAAGAAAGTGCCACAGCTATCCCCATTTTAAAGATAGAGAAAGTGAGGCACAGAGAGTTGATGGTACATGACCTGGTGAGGGATAGAGCTGGGATTGAAAATAGAGACAGGGTCTTGTACATCTTGAGCAATCTCTTATAGTGCAGTACAAACGTGTACCCGGTTATTAGCTGGTAAGTGCTCATTAAAGTTTTTTTTTTTTGTTTTTTTTTTTGAGAGAGGATCTCATTCTGTCACCTAGACTGGAGTGTAGTGGCATGATCTTGGCTCACCGCAACCTCTGCTTCCCAGGCTCAAGCGATTCTCCTGCCCCAGTCTCCTGAATAGCTGGGATTACAGGCGCGTGCTACCACACCCGACTAATTTTTGTATTTTTATTAGAGACGGGGTTTCACCATATTGGCCAGGCTAGTCTCAAACTCCTGACCTCAAATGATCCACCTGCCTCGGCCTCCCAAAGTGCTGGGATTACAGGCGTGAGCCACCACACCCGGCCCTACTAAATGGAGTTTTAACACATCTGGTGAGTAAATGCATGCTCTGTTACAGTCCTGGGAGAGATGATGCAGATCTGATAGCTCCTCAAAACCATCACTCCAGAGCCATGGAGTAAATTTTACACACTGACATGGGTTGAATTGTGTTCTCCCAAAAGATATGTTGACATTCTAACATCCAGTACTTGTGAATGTGACTTTATTTGGAAATAGCGTCTTTATAGATATAGTCAAGTTAAAACAAGGTCGTTAGGTTAGGTCCTAATATAATTTGACTGGTGACTTTATAAGAAGAGAAGAGCCCCAGAGACTGACCTGGACAAAGGAAAGATAATGTGAACACATAGAGAGAGACAGCCATGGGATGACGGGGTCAGAGATTGGAGTGATGCATTTTTGAGCCCAGTTAACACCAAGGATTGCCAACTGCTGCCAGAAGCTGGAAGACACAAGAAGGTTCTTCCCTAGAGCCTGCAAAAGGACCGTGGCCCCACCAACACCTTGATTTGGGACTTCAAGACTCCAGAACCATCAGAGAGCAAATTGATATTGTTTTATGTCATGTAGTTTGTGGTACTTTGTTACAGCAACTCTAGGAAATGAATACACACGCCAACCCGCATTTTCCCTTCCCATATGGACCAAAGAGTAAATGTCCTCTCAGCCAAACTCTTCCCCCTCTAAAGGCAGCCAAACCACCCTCCTTCTCTTAGCTCCTTGAACAGGGCTCATACCCTGAGTAGAGAATTGTCCACCTGTACTGGGGCCTGAGCAGATGTGGGCTGATGTAGTGTATGTAGGGGCTGTCTTCAGGAGGCCGTGGTTTTCCAGGGAACACAGTTCGAGCCCAAGAGGACGCCCAAGAGTTGGCACTGCTGGTCCCATTCTTGCTTCATCCATATCCCCAAAAAGGGAAACGCCTGGACATTGTGGAAACATGAAGACATTAAGGTGTGAGCCCAGGTCAGATAACAAAGAGATAACAAGAAGAATCACCCTGGCGAGATCCATTATATTAAATAGTCATCAGTTCTAACCGATCTGTTTGCTGCCTTTGTGTCCATCTTCTAGTTTCTCCTTGTTTTGGTGTCATTTGGATCCTTATGTTATGATTATATGGAGATTGTTTTTAAAATTATCCCTTTAAACATCTAGTTTATTAAATATGTCCTTTTCCATGAACATTTTAATTTATATAATTATTCTTCTGTATGCAGTTATTTGTAGGACATTTAAAGCATATAACTTACCATTGAATTTCCTACACTAAGAAAAATATGAAACCATTACTTCATCAAGATTTGGAATAAGGCTAGGTGTAGTGGCTCATGCCTGTAATCCCAGCACTTTGGGAGGGCGAGACAGGGGGATAAGGGATAACCTGAGGTCCGGGGTTCAAGACCAGCCTGGCCAACATGGCTAAACCACATATCTACTAAAAATACAAAAATCAGCCGGGCTTGGTGGCGCGTGCCTGTAATCCCAGCTACTTGGGAGGCTGAGGCAGTAGAATCACTTGAACTCAGGAGGCGTCCATTGCAGTAAGCCAAGATGGTGCCACTGCACTCCAACTTACATGACAGAGTGAGACTCAATCTCAAAAAAAAAAAAAAAAAAAGATTTGGAATAAATTAAATGCTGGCTGTATAGTTAGATACATAATAGCAAAGGTAGAGACTCTCTGCTTATGAATTTTGGCCCAGTCATTTCTAAGCTCCATAACCAAGGTCAGTTGTTTAACTTACTGAACCTCAGTTTCTTCATGTATAAAATGGGGTAAAGTAGCAGCTTCTACTTCTTAGGGTTACTCTATGGATTAATGAGATAATGCAGACAAAAGCTTAGGAAACCACTGGGATCATTCGGAATTAAAAGATATTGTTTAAGGGGTCAGAATTGTTTAGCTTAAGAGAGAAGAATAGACAATGATTTAATGTGTCTTTATGAATATGACAATGATTTAAAGCGTCTTTGTGTATACAAACAATAACCAGAATGATCTAAGATTGAGGATTTCTTGACAAGATTATTCAAGAATAAGTAGACTTATATTATAAATAGAAGGAGTTTGGTTATTTTTTTAAAAGGCCTATATATTGACTAGACATTGGAAGTAGATAACAAGGAACACTTAATGATTTTTATCCTTGGAGATATTTGGGAATAGCATTGGCCATACTTGCTATCTTGGAGGGCTTACATATTTACTGGCATAGAGACAGGCTGATGAATGAGAAATTTTTTTTCCAAATTCCTTCCTAGACTAGGATTCTAGGACCAGATCTGTCAGTCTGTTCTTGTGAGATCCAGGAGAAACCAAGCTACATTCATGGGCTTCACTGCTTCTCTCCGAAGATATAAAGTGGTAATGGCCTCAGTAGCAGGCAGGAGAAACAGGTTATTGAAGCAAAGTCACTGTCGAGAGTTGTGGTCCTCAGAACTGAATGTGCATCAGAATAATCTGGAAGACTTATTTAACACAGATTTCGGGTCCTACCTCCAGCATTTCTGATTCAGTAGGTCTTGGGTGGGCCTGAGAATCTGCTTTTCTAATGCATTACTAGATGATGCTGATACAGCTGGTCTGGGACCATACTCTTGGAACCACCGGTCTATAGAGGAAGAGATGCTGAGAGTGGAAGACTCTTACTATCTGAGTGAAATCTGAGTACCAAGGTATTGGCCTGGGTCTCAGCTGGCTGAACCTCCCAGCTGTGAGCTGTTGAGACCACAATTGAAATGCATGTTAAGCCCTTTCCTTAGCACACATTTGCCATCCTCTGCTTGCCTGCACTAACAGAAAGAATACGAGGGCAATTCAGGGCATACACTCCCCTCCTTTTTTACTTATGTGAATGTTTGTGTGATTCTGCTTTGTGACTATCACCGCTGTTTAATTAAAGTCCCCGGATGCTGACGTGAGCAGTCATCCCATTTATCATCTACTCATTCACCCATCAATCCAGACTTAAAAAATGTATTTGCTATTTACATAAGCAATGCCCCACAGTATGAGCTTACTTAGACTGCACCTCCAGTTTTCTCCTGGATTTATTTTGGGTCTCTGGACATTTATATTAACTTGCCATGGTAGTGACTGCTGACCTCTTTCTTTGCATAACAGAGCCCCCTGAATTTAGCTGGACACATAGCTATTGTGCTTATAACTACAGTTGCCAACTTTCCCTGCAGGTAGGTATGACCCTGAGACTAAACTTAGGCTAAAAGGAGATGAACCAAAATAATGTATGTAACTTTTGGGTTATCTTCTTGAAGGAGAAAGATACTTCCCCAAACTTCCTTTACCTCCTTCTCACTCTCTGAAAAGTCACAATCGTTGGAGAAATACCAGAAACCACTTGTTAAGGATGGCACTGGACCACTCTCTTCCAGGCTATTAATGTGACAGAAAAGCAAATTTCGATCTTAAGCCACTATATTTTAAAGCCTCTTTGTTATAGACGCTTAGCCTTTACCTTGACCACTAAAATTGCCTACATGGCTGTCCTGTGCATTTGTCACCTTCTTTTTTTTTTTTTTTTTTTTTTTGAGACAGAGTTTTGCTCTTGTTTCCCCAGGTTCAAGTGAGTCTCCTGCCTCAGCTTTCCTGAGTAGCTGGGATTACAGGCATGTGCCACCATGCCCAGCTAATTTTTGTATTTTTAGTAGAGATGGGGTTTCACCATGTTGGTCAGGCTGGTCTCGAACTCCTAACCTCAGGTGATCTGCCCACCTTGGCCTCCCAAAGTGTTGGGATTACAGGCATGAGCCACTGTGCCCGGCTCATTTGTCACCTTTCTGGACTCAAGATTCAGCTGAAACGTCTAGATTCATGGTATTCATACACCCTTTTAGATTCATGGTACCCATACACCCTTTCTCCTACTGAATTACTTGCCAACTGGCCTTGAGTTGATGTTTATTTCCAGCCCTTCCAACCAGTTAGAGTCTTGGATTCAGGCTCCTGTGCTCTCTTCTGCAGTGACTCACCACCTAGGATAAGATGCGATGACTTTCTGGGGAACAAGTTAACACTGAGGGCAGATGTGGCTGGCAACGCTGTACACAATTCTGTTATAACAGCACAAAGACAATGATTATCCAAGTACTGGTGTAATTGTTTGAGGACCTAGCCTCAGCTCTTAGGAACTTCTCTTTCTTTCCATGTATCCCCAAAGAGGTTCTCCACACACCCAAAAAAATTCTCTTGGCCAGCGCAGTGGCTCACACCTCTAATCTCAGCATTTCGGGAGGCCAAGGTGGGAGGACTGCTTGAGCCCAGCAGTTCAAGACCAACTTGGATAATAGAGCAAGACCCCGTCTCCACAATAATTCCCCCAAATCAGCCAGGTGTTGGGGCACACACCTATAGTCCCAGCTACTCAGAAGGCCTGGGTGGGAGAATCGCTTGAGCCAAGGAGGTCAAGGCTGCAGTGTGTCATGATTGCACCAGGTTCACTCCAGCCTGGGTGACAGAGCAAGATCCCCATCTAAAAAAAAAAAAAAAGTTCTTTCTGTTTACAGGCAGTGTTGGGAGATTAACTAAGATACTGCAGTATTTAGGGGATAAAATATTTTATTTTTAAAAAAAGTGGTGCAAAAAAATTCTGTAGACAATAGCTATGCTGGAGTCTCAAAAGACTGTCATTTGCAATAACATCTTAAAACAATGGTTACGCAAGCAGGAAGTGCCATGAAGGCATTCATAGAAAATTAAAATGATTATTTCTGACACGCTTGAATGAAGGAGCAATCTCAGTAGAGGCTGATCAGTTAGAAACTATTCCAAAATATTATCTAGGGATGCTGGGTGCATTTTTCTAAACCAAGGTAACACAGTGAAGAAGTTCCAGGCTTTGGCTGTGAATAAACAGTCCTCAAAAGAGGTGAGATTGGCAGCTATTGAAGTGGTGTGACTGAGGAACAATGAGTCATTTGTTCTTTGCATTTGTCTGTTTCAAGCCTGAGAGTCACCTTGTTGTTGTGTCTTCCTTGGATTAAACCATGGTCCTTCAAGTTCTTCCAATAAAGGGCCAATGCATCATCTGAGGATAACATTTGAGAGCTTATAGTTCCTCTCTCTGGGAAATTTAACCATCACTGCCAATAAATCCACATCAAATTTCTGTGATGAACAGTTTGAAGGACTGGGGTCTCTGGAGTCAGGTGCTCCAAAGCAGAGGACAGAACAGAGATTCGGGTGAACGTGACTTACTAGATAAACGCTCTCGAAGCAAGGGAGTAGGTAGGAGGAGTAGGTTAGGGCAGGAGAAGCGGCTACACCAAGGATGAGATCTTAGCTGGATTCTAGCTGCAGCCTAACCACGTGGGGAAACTCTGAAGCACAAATTGCCTCTCAGAGTTGGTCCCAGCTTTAGGCAAGGGGTCCCTCCTTTTGTTCCTCTGTGCCAGTTGATCATGCATTGGCTGTGAGCCATCCCAGGTGAGGGGGATTGGAGGTAAAGGGTGGAACATGAACTCCGAAATGGAGCTGATCCGGCTTTGCTTAGCATAGTTCTCTAAAGCAGTATTTCTCAAACTTTGCTGCACATTGGAATTGCCTGGAGATCTTTGAAAAAACACCAATGCCTTGCTCCGACACTCAGACATTCTGATTTAAGGAGCTTTTTCCTGAATCACCTCGCTTCCCTCTCTTCTCCTTCGAGACTCATGTATCCTTCCTCAGTGTTACCTTTCTTTAGTCCTGCCTTAGGGGATGAACATAGCACCTTTGCCTGTCTTTGTTATAGACTCAAACACCCTCTATTGAATTTTCCTGTCCACCTATCTGCCTTGCCCAGGGGGCTGGGCTCTCCCTTTGAGAATATGAGTAGAGCTTTAATTTTCTCTCTGTCCTGCCCCCTACCACGATGCCTGCCACATAGGACAACTTCAGGGCTCACCACATGAACGGATGGATGGATGGATGGATGGGTGGGTGGGTGGGTGGATGGACAGATGGAATGAATTGCAATTTTCAAGTAAGTTGCACAGATGCAAATACTCTGTGAACTCGGAAGAGGAAGCAATCCTTCAGGGCTGGAGCAGGCTTTGAGGAAAAGGTAGAAATTAAACCAGGATTCTGAAGATAAAAGAAAGACAAATCCCATCATGCCCTAGTTTCTAGGACTACCTAGAACCCTAGGGGTTAATTTCAAGCCAGTCCCGTTCGTAGGTGGTGGGATGAACGTTGAACGTGCCGGGCATTTTGAGGGGTTTCGTTCAGCAGCCTGCCATAAGGACCAACCGTGGCTTCTAACACACATAGCGAAAACAGCTTTGGAAAGAGATCTTGCCCTTCTCCCATGGTTGTTTGAAGATGATTGCTCATCCTTCAGCAGGCCTTTCTCTCAGGAGGTGTCTGCCGCATCTCCTGTTCTACGTGTTAATGAGCCCTGGGTGAAATTGGGGGGCATGCTGGGACTGGCATGATCACCCTGGGATGATGGATAGCTGTGCTGCCCCTCCTAGTCTGAGTCGACAGAGGGGCTCCATGGCTTATTCAGAGTGGCTATGCCAGAAATTGAATGTGAGCTGACAACCTGGCTGCCATTCAAAACAGGTGAGAGAGAAACAATGCTGGTGGCAGAGCAAGAGACACCCACGGTCAGCAATCGGAGGTGCAGCCCTCTTAACTCTGTGCAGTGCTAACCTGCCGGGAGGATAATTCCTCTTAGACTCTCATGAGACAGCAGGGGCTGAGCTCGCCCTGTTCCTGTGCAGAAAGGTTATGTCTATCTTTTTATAGGTGGACATCAGGATGCCTCTGGGTTTGCTCTTCAGCAGACTGCATTCTATAAAAACACTTTAGATTCTCAAATGGTCCTGAGCCCCAGGCATTGTCATCACGGGCATGTGAATTCTTTTTTGGTGTATGCATGCATGGTACCTATGCTGTTTGCTATAGTGTTTAAGGGCCCAGATTCTGGAATTAAACAGACTTGGATTCAAATCCTGGCCGTGTGACTTTAAGCAAATAACTGAGTTTCCTCAAGCACCAGTTTTATAATCCACAAAATGGGAATACTAATAGTACCTTCTTGATAGGCTTAATGTGGCAACTGAGATGATCCATGCAAAGCACTTAGAGTTGTTCCTACAATATAAGAGATTTTTTTAATGCTTATACAGTATTATTGTTGTTGTTGTTAATCTTCCAAAACTGATCATCTTTGCAAGCCCATGCAAGAAAGTGTGCTAGACATTGAAGATATAAAGACAAAGAAGACCTAGCCCCAAAGAGTTTATAGTCTAGAGAGGCAGATGTCCTCAGGGAGCACTAAACTAAAGTCCCTTTTGAAGTACTGGGTCACCATACTCTATATTGCACCTTTATGTGAATTAGAAAAATAGATGCTCCCTTCTGCCACTCGCCTGGATTTTAGACCCTTGCCCTCTAGGCTAGGTGTCCTTGTTCAGCAAACAATCTGAATAACTGCACATGATGACCCAGGGTGATATGTGCTATGCCAGCAGCATTAGCAAAGTTGTGATTACTGTATTGCTTGCGGAAAAGTGAAATAAATCTTTACAGAGAAGGTGACATCTGAGCTGGATCCTAAGCAATTGACTAGATTTAACTAAGGCTTGCAGGAGCTGG
The DNA here is from genome assembly GCF_000001405.40 of Homo sapiens. Classification (NCBI taxonomy): domain Eukaryota; kingdom Metazoa; phylum Chordata; class Mammalia; order Primates; family Hominidae; genus Homo; species Homo sapiens. The sequence continues at coordinate 12,926,952 of NC_000006.12, read as the reverse complement.
CAGAAATGAGAGCTAAACAAAGGCACAGAGGCATGAAAAGACTTGGTGACTTCAAAGATGAGGCCAGGCAGGACCAGGACCAGCGCATGTAGGGATTAAATGCTGCACAAAAGAGATTGGTCTTTTGTCTGTAAGTACTGTGAGCTCATGATCAGCTCTGCTGGAGCATAGCCTCTGCTAGATATTTGTAAGACGGATTTGTAAACAGAGAATCAGAAGAGAAAGTCACTCTATAAATCCTGTTGGGAGGAATGAGGGTCCATACCAGATTGTGATGGAGAAGCTGCCAAAGCCAGAAATGCTACAAAGGCGGAATCTTCAGGACTTGATGGGCAGCTTTCTATGGGGACAAGGATATGAGTCAGGAGGTTTGGTGAATGTTGATGTTGTGAGACAGGGTGGAGCAGGTGGAGCCTGGACCGTGGACAAGTAACACAAGTTGGGAGAAAAAGGAATTCGAAGTAACTGTAGGGTATCCAAACATAGATATGGATCTAGAATTCATGTGAGGAATCAAGTTATAGATTTGGAAGTCATTGGTTAACAGGGTAGAACTGAAGCCATGGGAATTGACTAGATTCCCCAGAGAGGGTATGTAACCAGAAGAGAAGAGCATCTAAGACAAAAATCTTAGGAAATGTAAACAAAGGGCTGAGAGAAAAGACAAGAGTCAAAGGGAAAAAATGTAAAACCCAAATGGTGGAGAAGATCCAAGAGAGACACTGGAAAGAATGAAGGCATCAATGGTAGCCATAATTCTAGACGAGGAAGAAGTCAGGGCATTGGGCCATTAGCTGCACAGAGTTCTATCTAGTAGTAAGGGGTCTGAGAGGCAGCATTTAGGAGTTCAGAGGGGACATAACCAAAGAAGCTTCAGTAGCAAGGTAAAGGCAAAAGCCACACTGCAGAGGGGATGGCATGTGAATTTAAAGGAAGAACGTGGAAGACGGAATATAGACTATTTTCAGAGATATTAGTGAAGAAAGGAAAAGAGATAGGTGATAATGGCTTGAGGGCCAGGCAGGGTTCATGTTAGGATGGAAAGTGGAGTGGCAGAGTTTGAAGATACACGAGAGACAGGCCCCTGAAATTTTTTTTTCCTATTTCTGCTTTGGGTTGCAGGGAAATGGGAGACTGCTTTTGGGGGAGCAGAGAAATGGGAGCTCCCAGGCCATTTTGTTCTCTGATACTTCATGTTACTCACCTTTGGAGTTGAATTCTGGGCTTTCTGTAATATCAGTGTAAATTGCAAGATGGGAAACTATTTTTAAGTTTTACTAGTGGAATTGCATTTAGTCACCAGCCAAATCCAGGACCTTTGAAATAAGATATGAATTCTGAATAACAAGAGGAATGGGGAAAATGTACCAATATTTATTGCAAATCTGTTAAATCCCACTCTATGGGCTAGAAGTTTTATGCACATCATCTAATATAATCTTCACAATTGCTATATGATATAGAAGGTATTCTCTTAGAACAGTTTCGTACCTTAGAAAGACATTAAGTTATTAAAATTTTATCCAACTTTTTGTGTGTATGTCATATGAAAGAGTGTTCTTAGGTTTAACGAGATGATGAACAGGGTCCAAAATATTAAGACTTGCTGACCTAGATGACCAATATATTCATAACCTAGAGGAAAAAGATGGCAGAAAAAAATTTACTTTGAACCTATAGCTAATATCACAACATAACCATGTTGAATCAACAAGTCAGTTGAGCCCTCAACAGAAAGGTGATAAAGTTGTTGGAGTTGTTGGGAGATGTTTGTTCTTGAAGTTTGCATTGCACATTTCTTATGAGATATTCGATTGTATATAAAATACAAATGACATCTGCTGTGTGTGCATTTTAGCAGCCACTGCCAGGAAAGCATATGCCAAGATAAATAAGAAACTTAGGTGATGGATCTGAATGTGAATCAAAACCAGAAAAACAATCCATGCTGGCATAATGAGCTTCTCACAGATGATTTCTGTCATAAATGGTATGTATTGAGGGGTAATGCTAATGAAATGAGTTGAAAATATGTCTATTTTCATTATGATCATCAATTTGCAATACAAATACGTAAGAAAAACCACTTCTTCATTTTAAAGTTGGGTCCAAATGAGTGTAAGCAACTGCCAAAAATGATTACTTACTATAGTTTAAATTTTTTTTTTTTTTTTTTCCGGGACAGAGTCTCGCTCTGTCGCCCAGGCTGGAGTGCAGTGGTGTGATCTCGGCTCACTGCAAGCTCTGCCTCCTGGGTTCATGCCATTCTCTTACCTCAGCCTCCCGAGTAGCTGGGACTACAGGTGCCTGCCACCCTTGCCCAGCTAATTTTTTGTATTTTTAGTAGAGACAAGGTTTCACCATGTTAGCCAGGATGGTCTCGATCTTCTGACCTTGTGATCCACCCACCTCGGCCTCCCAAAGTGCTGGGATTACAGGCGTGAGCCACCGTGCCCGGCATATAGTTTAAAATTTTAAATCTCATTGTATATCTCATTAAGAGTTCATGGAAATTAGTGCATTGCCAAAAGATGGGCAAATCAGTGTCAATAGAAAATTTAACCAGTTTGGGATGGTTGCTTGTAGAAACACACATAAGACCAATAATAAAGCTTGAATTGTTGTTTGCATTTACTTTAAATAACCTAAATATAATTACAAATTAACACATGTTGGCATATGTATGGACACACACGTTTATCTGTGCCTATATGTAAATATATTTATGTATATATGTATTTACATACATACACATGTATTATCTAGAAACACATAGTCTCAGCAGTTTATAAAGTAGGTCAATTTAGCTTTAAGGGCAAATATTTTATATCATCTAAACTACTGCCTCCAAAACTTACCCCAATACAACAGCAACAAAAAGCACAGTTTGTATTTGGAGATCATGTCTTTCAAGATTGAATTAGTAAATTAAAGTGTTTGATATTCAGTTTACTTTAGAATGTTACCTTATTACCACGAACAGAAGCTCTTCATTATCCAAACCTCCACCTTTATGGTGGTGTTTAGAGAGGCAAACAATCATTGTAATATCAACATGTGACACATGAACCTACTGCTTATAAAATTAGTCATCATCTCTCTCACTTCCTTACACTACTGCCTCTTCAGGCCTATCCTGTCTTTGAAGATCGGTTTCTCATTCGTGTCTAATGTTACCTGACAACACAATTAAAATCAATTGCAAAGGGAAAGAGCAAATCTGGTGAAGAATGCATGGTTTCTTGAAGTTAGTGAAAATGATGGGGGAGAACTGCAAAACTAGTGAATCATGAGCTTCTGAAAGAGATTCATTTGTAACTGAGAAGGAAAAAAAGAATTGGCAAGGATAATGATAAGATAGATGCTTCCATGGAAATAATTTCAATATCAAAGTATTGGTATTAGGAAAATGGAGGGGGTTCTCAAAAAATTTAGCAAATGCGATTCTCTTTTGGATCATGCTGCAGAAGTCATGCATGATGTCAAGGATATTGCATTGTGCTATCATAATATTTGTTGCAAAATTATTTTTAGTGAAAATTATTTTGTGTTCTATAAATTATAGCATGTAATATTTTATCCTAAATTTCATTAGAGGATGACATTAACTTACATAGATTCATTTTTCAAAGTAAATTCTCAATCATACATCTTTTTTACTATTTATTATTAAAGCATAGGTCCTTTGGGATAGATTCATTTCCATGACCTTTGATAAAGACTTGTCAGTCATATCTAGACCCCTGTCTCCTCTCATCTCTTCTAGTTTGGGCACATCCTTAGTCTCCTTTGCATTAACTTTTGAGTTACTGGAAGTCTCTGTAACTATTCCTAGCTGCACAGGCAATAGATTTATGGAGGAAGGCTCTGTTTCGGATTCTATTTTTGTAATCAAAATTGCATGGGGGATTTTTGCAATCAGAATTATGGCAGATTACATATCTCCTGACATAGTGTCTGTAGAAAACATTCAGTAAGTATTTACTAAAGGAATATAGTTCTTTCAATTTACTCCGGGGTCTGATGCAGAGTTCTAGGAATAGGGTGGGTTGTGGGAGGAGGTGCTATTCCTTTTAATTCCTGTACCCTGACTCCAAAGGCAATGCCAATCTTAATAGACAATGGTCTCAGTGGATAATGTATACCTCTTCAGAGCTGCAGATAATTTCTTCATAGAATTAGTGAATTAGTAAGCAACTAGTAAGTCCTTCAGATCTACTTAGAAGGTATTTACTTCCATACTCCTTCTTACCACCCACTGACTAGGAATGCACACTATTGAAAATGAATGGGTAAAGGATAGTAGGAGGAGTGAAATGGAAAGTTGAAATCAATGCATGGAGAATCAGCTAGGAGATATATGTTCTTGTTTCCATCTCCATGTTTATGGATGTGACTTCTAAACACGATCTAGCTGTTCCATGCATATTCAAACTCTCATTTTAGGTTAGGATGAGAACTTTGCTTTATTCCTTTATGGATGCTGATGGCTCTGCACAAGCTAACTCACATGCCCTTGCTTTACTTTCCCTGGGCTCCAGCACCATACACTGCATGCAGTTCTCTAAAGCCAATATTATTAATGTGTACTGATCTACGTAAAATAAGACAGAGCTATGAATAATTTTACATGCTTTTGCTAAACATTACCCTCAATACTTCAGTCACAATTATGAAGTCTTAGAGTCATTTTTTATTCCAATTTTCCCATTTAATGAATGAGGAAGCAAGATCTTGCAAGGAGAAGAGTCCTTTGTGAGGTCATACTGCCAATAAAAGGCAACCCAGAAATTAGAACCCAGGGATCCCAACTCCCCATTCAATGTTCTGCAAATGACATGGGGTATTCCTTATAAAAGTAGCTCACAGATGTTCTCTGCTTTATAGTGCCACAAAGCAAAGTGATCATCTCCTTTTGATACTTGTTTTTACTGTGACTTTGTGATGTGGATAGCACAGGCACCATCATTCTTATTTGCAGATGTGGAGAATGAATCTGAGAGAGAGTAAGGGCCCTTTTCACAAGGCCTGCTGGCACTAGAGCCAGACAACACTGAGATGCAATACACAGCAATGCATGGACCAGCCTTCTTGCCTTCCTGCCTCCCTCTCTCCCTCCCTTCCTTCCTTCCCCCTTGCTCCCTCCCTCCCTTCCTTCTTCCCTCCCTCCCTGTTTCTCTCCCTTCCTTCTTCCTTCCTTCCTTTCCTCCTCCCTCCCTCTCCTTCCTTCCCTTCTTCATTCCTTCTCCTTGCTTCTTTCCATCCTTCCTCCTTCTTCCTTTCCCTCCTCCCTCCCTTCCTTCTTCCCTCCCTCCCTCCCTCTCCTTCCTCCCTTTCTTCCTTCCTTCCTCCCTTCCTCCCTTCCTTCTTCTCCTTCCTTCCCTCCTTCCTTCCTTCCTCCTTCCTCCTTTCCCTCCTCCCTCCCTCCCTCCCCTTCCTTCCTTCCTTCTTTCCTTCCTTCCTTCCCTCCTTCCTTCCTTCCTTCCTTCCATCCTTCCCTCCAGCATGGGTAGGATGTCAGTGTTTCACAGTGCACTAGCATTTTAGTCTTGAAGACAAGGACTGTCTTTTTCATTTCTGTGTGTCCTGCACACTCAGCCCTGTGCCCAGCATTGGTAGATACTCATTAGTTATCGAATTTATTCTCCAGAAAGCTGGGTGTGAATGCCTGTGCTGGTTCCTAACAAAGTGGTCAAGAACATGAACTTTGGACCTGATCTAAAAAATTACTTGGCCATTTTCTTTCTAGTTGTGTGATCATGGCAGGGCAGGGATAGAGTGAAGCAAGTGACAAGCTTAGGGTGCTTGGTTTAAGGAGGTGCCCATTCCCAGGTGCACTGCACCAATGTGAGAACGGGCACATCCTGAAAGTCTGCACCCTAAGTGTCTCATTTGTCTCACCCTAGTCCTAGCTCTGAACTGGGGACAAGTGCCTTAATTTGTCTAAACTTCATGTATCAAGCAAGGATAGTAGTACCAAAATCAAATGCCAAACCCAGTATCCAACTCAAAAGGCTGACTTATAGCTAAATGAGATGTTTTGTACAGTGTTTGAAACATGATTAATCACTCAAAAGTGGTAGCAGTTATTATTAGGGGTTCTATTTTCCAGTCCCTTGAATTTTACAGCATAATCCCCATCCATCCCCAAAAGCTGCTTGACATAGAAATGTACACCTTCTTACAGCTACTTTCTTTCTTTTGTTTATTTTGCTCCTACTTCACCTTGGCCTGGCCTTGGCCTTGTTCAAAGGGGCACTTTGATAATGACAGTACTTTTACATTCACCATAATTCTACAATTTATGAATTATAATGTAGCTACAAATTTATTTCAATATTGCATTCTGCCTCACTCCTTATAGTGCCTGGCAGGGAAAATAGGAACAGGAAGAGAAGCAAAAACTTAATAATGAATGGATTACCATTAATGAAGAGATAATGAAAAACATTCATTAACATCACTGCAAAGTCAGACTCCTTGACAGTTTATTTCAGATGACAGATTTTTAAAAGTTCTTAATCTGCTCTTTTAAACTGATGAGTGATTCACACTGGGGAAGAAAGAAGCAGCTTAAGTTTCACAATGCTAACGGTACGAAATGTTCCATCCATGTGGATTTTAAGCCTTCTACAATTTATTGGAAATTTTCACAGGTTTATGAGTCTAAAACACTTTATGCTTCACTGTACTCATTGTCAGGTAAATTGGAGGCAGGACAAAAACAAGTTTAGTTATTCTCTTGATCTCTCCTCTCTTTGTTCACCATCCGTTAAGTTTATTTGGAAACTTTCAGCAAATTTGAGCAGATATTTATCTGTTAACAGTAACAACAGCAATAATCATACCAATATTTCTTGAGCAAATAATGTATTTCAGGCAAAATATTTACATATTAGTTTCTCTGTCTCTTTTTGATAATTATCCTCCAAGGTAGATATTACAATGTTTTGAAGATGAAAAAACTAATATAGACTGAGGTCAAAAAGTGATTTTGTCAATGTTACACAAGCAGTAATGTGTGTGAATTGAATTTAGGCCCCTATGACAATAAAACCAGTGCTCTTTCCATTGTACTCCAGGGCTCCTAGAGTCCTAGGCACAGTGCTGGATTCCGGGAATAAAAACAAAAGACGCAAAAGATGTAGGGCTCTCTCTCTCCTTAAGATCAGGGTCCAGCAGGGATAAAAACACTAACTACAGGCATAATACATATTTAACTCTCTACACATAAAATGATGGCTTAACTTGACTTTGGAATTAGATTGCAGTGAGGAATGCCAAGTGTACCAGAGCCCAAAGTCATGGGAAGCATCACAGTGGAAAAACTCTCCAGAACCTTTTGCATGAGAAAGTTAATTCTAAGTTTTGGAAGGCACTTGGGTAAAATATTGATCATATTTCCTTGATTCTGAAACACAACTTCTAGATTGCAGGGATCCTGTAGGATCTTAGTACCAGTGTGCACATCCAATGTGATTGTGTTTCTTTTTTTCCTTAAAAGTCTTTATAGGCCGGGCACGGTGGCTCATGCCTGTACTCCCAGCACTTTGGGAGGCCGAGGCAGGCAGATCACGCGATCAGGAGTTTGAGACTAGCCTGGCCAACATGGTGAAACCCCGTCTCTACTAAAACTACAAAAATTAGCTGGACATGGTGGTGCGTGCCTGTAGTCCCAGCTACTCGGGAGGCTGAGGCAGGAGAATCACTTGAACCTGGGAGTCAGAGGTTGCAGTGAGCCAAGATTGCACCATTGCACTCCAGCCTGGGCAATAGAGTGAGACTCCATCTCAAAAAATAAAAATAAAAAAAGTCTTTACAGGCTGGGTGCATGCAGTAGCTCATGCCTGTAATCCCAGGACTTTGGGAGGCTGAGGCAAGTGGATCACTTGAGCTCAGGAGTTCGAGACCAGCCTGGGCAACATGGCAAAACTCCGTCTCCATCTCTATTTCAAAAAAAATTAAAAATAAAAAGTCTTTACAAAGCCAGTGGTGAGCCCTATAAAACAACTGCATTTTAAAAATCAAAGAAATTTCGCAACTTTTTCTTGTTCCTGGACTACCACTAAAAGGTCAAAGTTAAAGCTCAGGTGATCTGAACGAATGGTTGTTTCCATTTGAGTGCAAATTATATTCAAATGGTCTCTTTCACCAATAGACACCTGGTCCACTTCTAGGGGTCTGGCTGGGATTGTGCTTTTTGATTCTATCTTTAGATTTATAATGTGTCGCAATGGTTTTAGGCACTGGCTAGTGATTTTATATGATGAGGCAAGATTTAGGGAGCTTAATCACCTATGACATATAACACATTGTTTTATGCTCAGAATGACATCACATCAAATTAATGAATGTTTAAAAATACGAACAGACAACCTCTACATGCTAATGAAACAATGATAACGATGGCATCTCTCACAACACATGGCTAATTTTATGTACGACAACAGAAGTAATGTCAACAAACACGATTATAAATGCGCTGCCAATGTGTGCTCAAGTCCTTTCACTAGGTAGAGATGCAATTAAGTATAAAACAAAATTGTGTTTGCAATTTGAAGTATACGGATATGTGTGTGTGATTACATTGGCTACAGCATAAAAATTAACTCTAGACTGTTCAAAAAGAGTAATGGAAATTTTAAAATGTCAGCCTAGTGTTTCCCCAGAACTCTGATGATTCCTAGATGAGGAGGAAAGTGTCAAGGAGATTTGCGAGTGGGCCAAATAGCCAGCCTTCAACCTAAGGCAAGTCCTGTCTGGTGGAAATATATTTGTGGCTCTTTATAGGGATGGTTACCTGGAATGACTTATAAAGGTGATCCATGGTGCAATGCTTTTGTTTGCCTGGGAATAACACAGCATGGGAGAGCACAGGATGAAAGCTAAGAGTGACACGCCATTCCTGTTGTCATTGTATCTGTTTCATATCACTATGAATGGTGCCAAAGCTCCACATCATAGAAGGCAGGATAGCATTTTTGTGGTTCTTTTTAGTTACCATTGAACACGAATTGCATTCTGTGTTTAGTGCACAATCAGAATAGTGGTGCCTGAATTTCCAGTCACCCTAAATTCCCGAGTTCTGAGTTCCTGAGTACAACTCAGTGAGAGTCAGTATTGACATGAGGGGCGATATTCACCTCTCGGTTTGAGCTGCTTTTCCTTTGTTTGTTCATTTGTTCATTTTTATTTAGTTATGGATGGGGTCTTGCTGTTGCCCAGGCTGGAGTGTAGTGGCACAGTCGTAATTCACTGTAATCTCAAACTCCTGGGCTCAAGCAAACCTCCTACCTCTGTCTCCTGAATAGCTGGGACGATAGGCTCATGATGCCACCTGGCTAATTTTTATTTTTAACTTGTTTACAGACAGGGCCTCATTTTGTTGCCCAGGCTTGTCTCAAACTCCTGGCTTCAAGTAATCCTCCCACCTCAGACTCCCAAAGCACTGGGATTATAGGTGTGAGCCACTGCGCCTGGCCTGCTTGTCATTTATGACTCTACTTGGGGTTGACCAAAGGGAGCAAGCACAACATGAACATGAATGCTTCCGAGATGGCATGATCCCTGTTGAGGGTCAACCTAAACTGAAGATCTGGAGCTAGGCTCCACCCCATCCCAAGCAAGGCCATCCTGAGATGTTAACTGGCTAGAGAAAAATCCAGGCTATGCTACAAGTCTTGTGACAACTTCACTCAACAACACTTATTAGCACCCTCACTATAATAGAGAGGCTGATCTGAAAAACATAAACTGGTGTACAACTTGAAAAACTGTCCCCAGCCATGGAAAACATCATTGATTAAGCCAATATGAAGATTAAGTGAAGAATCCAAGTGCAGCATTGAACTTGGAGGCTGGCACACTTGCTTTGGAAGCCACAGTTATAATCACAGCTCACCTCTGCTACAACCAACCTTAAAAAGGTAATAGTATCCTTCAACTAGAAGTCGTTTGGATTTCTGAGTGAGCATGAGTGAAGCACTACAGTATCCTTGAATGCTGATATGTTGAAAGTAAAAAAACATTAGTCATTCATCACTTTGACAATTTATTCTACTCAAGAGCCCGGGCCCAGAAATATCCAATTCTCCTGAGATTTATTAGTTATTAATCATTTTGAGTTAGCAAATGAAAATTTAGTGAGTGTCAACATTATGCTTTATATTAAGGGTGCACATATTGGAAGATCTAGCATTTTAATTTTGATCTATTTTTGTCTCCTACAAGATAGGTATCCTGACCATCTAAATGATGTTGCTCTCCCAACTGCAGAGACATGGCAATAAATTTGTCATATGGGCTGCTGGTGCTCTTTTCATCATTCATCCATTCATCATTCAACAGACATATACAGAATGCCTACTCTGTACTAGGTGCTGGGGATAAATTGTCAAAAAAAAAAAAAAAAACAGTCCATGCCCTCTAGTGTATAAACACTGACAAAGCCTGACGTGTAAACAAGTCATTTAAAATATTGTATCTTAAGACATAAAATGAGAGCAGAGAGAGAAAAATAACTAGCTGGCTGGAAAGATTTTAATAAGAATTGACATCTGAGGTGGAAATTGAAGGACAAATAGAAGTTTTCCACTGGAGAAAAGCAAGGAAGGGTATTCCACACAAGGGCGGTGAGTTGGTTTGAAGTAGAGCTGTGGAAATTCAGGGTTTTGTATGAGAAATTCAGTCTGATGGGAACTGAAAGATGAGGCTGCACAGACATGAAGATTGTGAGTAACCTGCTGCGAAGATGAGGAGTTTGGAAAAGGGAAGTCATAGAGGGAGGGTGGTTTTGTTTCGTTTTAAGTTAATAAACTAGTTTTTGGAGCAGTTTTAGGCTTATGGAAAACTGAGCAGGCAGAGATACCAATGTATTACCCTTTTTGCCACGCATTACAGAGATACCCATGTATTACCCTTTTCTCCACGCACAGTTTTGCCTGGTATTAACATCTCGCACTAGCTGATCAGGTACCAGAGGTTTTCAATCAAGGGCATAATAAAGATAATTTTGTTATTTTAGGAAGCTACCTAGTAGTCATGCAGGTATGGGGCTGGAATGAGAATGTACTGGTGGCAGGACAACCAGTCATGAGGCTGTGGCCAAAGTCCATGTGAGAGCAAAGAAGAGGATGAACTAACTCAGAGGTGGTAGGGGTGACGAAGCAGATGGGTTCAATTCTAGAGACATTTATCTGCTAAGTTGTTAGCAAGATTTGGCAACTAACTATGAGGAGTGAGTAGGAAGGAGTTTAGTTTGGGCAACTGTGCTGGTCAGATTTATTATAGCTCAGCTCCAAATTCACCTCTTAGTACCTGCTCTGTGATAGTAAACTGGACTCTAAGCATTTCTCTTCTACTATGTCCATGGAGGGTACTGGAGGGACATTGCAGGAAGAAGGGCACTTCTCCTCCTGTTTTTTTTTTTTTTCTTTTTTTTTTTTTTGAGAGAGAGTTTCACTCTATCACCCAGGCTGGAGTGCAGTGGAGTGATCTCAGCCCAGTGCAACCTCTGCCTCCTGGGTTCAAGCGATTCTCCTGCCTCAGCCTCCCAAGTATCTGAGATTACAGGTGCACATCACCTTGCCCTACTGATTTTTGTATTTTTAGTAGAGACAGGGTTTTGCCATGTTGCCCAGGCTAATCTCGAACTCCTGAGCTCAAAGTGATCCACCTGCCTTGGCCTCCCAAAATGCTGGGATTACAGGCGTGAGCCACTGCCCCTGGCTCCTCCTGGTTTTGATGCTGAGTTTTGCATTTTCTTGCTCTCACTCTGGTGGTGCAGATGTGTGTGTGTGTGGACATCCAAAGGCTCCCCAGCTGCACACCCAGAATATGCAGTCCCTTGGTCACCTCACTGCTCTGGCTTGCCCTGGCATCACATTGCTGAAGCCGTCTTTATGCAGACAAGACATACTCCAGGACTTGAGCTCCAACTCCCTTGTGAACTGCCCATCAACCTAGGCTCACCTTCATCACAGAGGGCCAGTTCCTGCTGCCGAGTGACTGTTGATCAGCTCTGGTGTGGACAACTCAGCCAAATTCTCCATCATCCAGTGGACTTCAAGGACACTTTCTCCAGTGGACCTGAACCTCAGTCCTTAGGAGGGGTCCCAGTTCCAAATTTGTCCTGACTTGCCTACTTTTCCTTAGCTCTAGACTGCCCTTAAGAGTCCTCTTTATAGTTACTCCACTGTCATAGTTTAATGATTTTTTTTAATATTGTTCCTTTTTTTCAGTTGACCGTGTGATTTCTGTCTCCTGATTGCTCCCCCTGAGAGAGCAACTGAGTGGATGGTGGTCCTTATTGAGACTGAGAAGGAGGAAAATCTTTTGGTGGTAAAGAGAATGAATTCATATTTGCAATTGCTACATTTAAGGTGTGTGTAGGACCTCCAGGCGGAGAAATCAAATAAGTGATTAGGGCAAGAATGTAGAACTCAGGTTGGTGATACAGATGTCTTCAGCGCATCTATAGTAGCTGAAGTGAAGTGCGGACATACAGTTTCAGAGCTAAGCGAGGTCAAGAATGGAATCCTTAGGATTCCCCAAGTTTAAGGACTAGGCAGAGTGAAGGAGCCAGCAAAAGAGGTGAGAAGGAGCAGACTCAGAGGTAGGAGGAGACCTAGCAGAAGCTGGAAGAAGAAGTTGCCTCTGTTGGGAGCAGTGGCTCATATCTGTAATCCCAGCACTTTGGGAGGCTGAGGCAGGCAGATCACAAGGTCAAGAGATTGAGACCATCCTGGCCAACATGGTGAAACCCCGTCTCTACTACAAATACAAAAATTAGCTGGGCATGGTGGCATGTGCTTGTAATCCCAGCTACCTGGGAGGCTTGTGCCTGTAATCCCAGCTACCTGGGAGGCTGAGGCAGGAGAATTGCTTGAATCTGGGAGGCGGAGGTAGCAGTAAGCTGAAATTGCGCCACTGCACTCCAGCCTGGCAACACAGCAAGACTCCTTATCAAAAAACAAAAAAACAAAAAAAGAAAAAGAAAAGAAAAGAAGTTGTCTCAGACCACTCAGTGGAATTGAGTGTCTTCAGAGTCTGCTTCAGGTTGTTCCCAGAAACAACATCTTCAAAAGTGTCAAAAATGAGTAGGGTGTAAACAGGTCACCTCTGTGACCACCTCCTGTTTGTGAACAGTGACGTGTTTGTTATTCAGGAACACCTGGGATATCGCTTCCTCTTCTTCATCATGAAACATGCCCAAAGGTTTGCAGCTCAGCTGCTGATGATTCTGGGCCACAAAAATCATCAGACCTCTCAGGATTTGAGGCCCTGAGATCCTCTCTGATTTTGAGAGGGGCTGAGATAAATGTGCGATGCATTATGCTACTCCAGAGCTGGAGTTTGATAAGGATACCAGAAAAATCATCCCACCTCTAAGGAGTTCTCTCGTACTAGAGAGCATGCAGGGTGGGCCTCTGGAGTCAGCTGGGAGCCCCTATATGATTTGAGAACAGTTTTATCCATTCGGACATTTCCTGGGGAGACATGGTCTCAGATGGAAGCTGTTAGCGTTTAATCAGTCCTACCAAGTTCAAGGTTGCCCAGTGCCTAACTGTCATATGGCTCTTTGGATTTGCAGCAACGGGGTCGTGGGACTTTGTGTGCTAAAATTTGAGTGAAGGTTTTGACATTTTAAGTGCTCTTGGGACACAGTGAGAGCTCACGGCCAATTTGCCTGACAGCCTAGCCTCACAGGCTAGTCACCTGATGACCTCTGGAGCCAGTGCTGTTCCATATTCTGCATGATCTCTTTCCAAGGAGACATCATCCTTTGTGCTTTTATCAGATGGGAACAATTTAAAATGTTTTGGTTGTATGTCTACCTTGGGTTTTTCTGTAGGAAACTTGGTTTCTGATCGGATATTGCTAAAGTATGCATGCTGGGAGATAGGGGAACAGGTATGAAGCTTTTTCAGGCATGACAAATCCCTCCTACAAAATATATTTATGATGGCTTTAAAAGCCAGGTTTTTGTTTGTTTGTTTTGAGACAGGGTCTCATTCCAGTTGCCCAGGCTGGAGTGCAGTGGCATAATCTCAGCTCACTGCAGCCTTGGCCTCTGGGGCTCAGGTGATCCTCCCACCTCAGCCTCTTGAGTAGCTGGGGCTACAGGCACGCACCACCACACCTGGCTAATTTTTTGTATTTTTAGTAGAGATGGGGTTTTGCCATATTGCCCTGGCTAATTTCGAACTCCTGGGCTCAAGCAATCTGCCTGCCTCAGCCTCCCAAAGTGATGGGATTACAGGCATGAGCCATTGCGCCCAGCCTACAAGCCAATTTTTTAGAACCTTCATTTCTTAGATAAATGAGGATGAAACAAACCTATTCCTCAGCAAAGGTATGCTATCAGGGTGGGGGAGTGGAAGGCATGGGGGAAACAGGCCCAACGTGAGTAACATCTACATCCCTTGCATGTTTACTTTTATACCAAGCATAGCTTCACTTTAGAGGTATGCACTAAAATTACCAGCCAGAAAAACCTTTTCAAAACTGGACAACGGAGTCTCTCTTTGGATAACATGATGTGGGCACCACAGATAATGGAAAAAATTACCAACATAGGCCCTCTGATTAGTGTTACAAATAGGGTCCCCTGGGGGCCTACCCTTGTCTGCTCTTGAGATTAAATGCTGTTTTGGGCCAAGCACGGTGGCTCATGCCTGTAATCCCAGCACTTTGGGAGGACAAGGTGGGTGGATCACCTGAGGTCAGGAGTTCAAGACCAGCCTGGCCAACATGGCAAAATCCCGTCTCTATTAAAAATACAAAAAAATTAGCCAGGCATGGTGGTGCATGCCTGTAATTCCAGCTACTCGAGAGGCTGAGGCCGGAGAATCACTTGAACCTGGGAGGCGGAGGTTGCAGTGAGCCGAGATCTCACCACTGCACTCCAGCCTGGGTGACAGAGCGAGATTCCGTCTCAAATAAATAAACAAACAAACAAATAAATAAATAAAATGCAGCTTTGAGGTACAACACTCATCACATGTCTCTCTGTCCTAAATGATGTATTTTCCTTTCACCTTCCTCTTTGATTGATTTGTTTTCAGGTAATAAAGTTAATAGAGCTTTCTGGAGAGGATTTCACAGTTGGTGGTGGAGAAGACTTAGCTACTTTAAATGACAATGAGATTATTTTGTAAAGCTCTTTGGAAAGGGTACAAAGGCACTTATAAATGTATCCATTATAAACCCCCTGAAAGATAGCAAAACTGCAAAGGCTGCTGGTTTTCAGCTGAGACGCCAGCGGTCACCCTGGATTTTTTTTTTAAACAAAAAATCATTTGAGTATCATAGGCTCTGGACTTTGCTTTTGAACTAGATAATCTTTGTGCCATCCTGCAGAAAAACAGCCACATTATTATTTAACATATGTTGCCCTCTAGCAGACACCTCAGTATTGCAAGCATTTTATTCAGAAATTGTTTTTACTTACCAGCTCTCTGGCAAGTTCACAGAAAAGCTAGACTTTCTCACCAGCTAAGATAAAGGATATGCAATATTTTTAAAAGTGTATTTTCCTCTGGGGATTCTTTTCCAAAGTAAGATATGGTGTGATATATATTCTAATTCTCTTTCTTTCTTTTTTTTTGGAAGACACAAAACCCCAATGTTGATTTCTGAAACACAAAGCCCCCAATGTCGATTTCTGCAGAAACTAGAAGAAACACAGAAAATTGAAACGAACCTACAAAGAGTTTGGAAATCACATATGGCCATGAGATCTATGGCTAGGCAGAATCCACAACATGGGAAGTCAGGAAATGAAAGGTAGTGAGCCTTCTAAGTCAACAGGGATTTCCTGAGCACCAGTTTTGCACAGCTTTGTTAAGTGTTGTAGGGGATTGGCTTGCAAACTGTTTGTGAGGTTGTGATTGGACACCTTGGGGACTGTTCCTCACCATCTCCATGCAGCCCCTTTGCCAGCCAAACTGAGCTTTCATGCCAGTCAGAAATGGTGTTTCCCTCTGAGCTCCTATGCCACTTTGCCACCCTTGGGATGCCTGCCACATGACACCATGCGCCACAGTTCTATGTGTACATGTCCCATCTTCCCATCTCTAAGGTTCCCAGAGACTCACTTGCTGAACTGCCATAGTGCAGCAGAGCCAGCCAGATCTGATTCAGATCCAGGCTTTGCCACTTAACCTGTCTTTGCACCTTAGTTTTCTCATCTGCAAAATGGGAAAATGCCCATCTTCATGACTATGTGGAAGATTAGAGAATGGCCTGCTCATAGTGGGCATCCAGTAGACGGCGGCTATTACTGACAAAAGGGGACTTCTGTCAATAATAATATGTACGTGCTCATGGTGCTGATGAACAAAGCTGCAACTGGATCCTTGGTTACTGTTTCCTAATTTACTTAAAGAGGAAAAAGTTGAAGGTATTTATTTTCACTTGGTAAAGCCTGTTTGTTTTTCTTAGCAATACATTTTCCTAGAGAAAAAAAGAATTTGATCAAGCAGATTTTCTTTTCCTATTTTTCAAAACAAGTACTATATGCATTTTGTTAGTGCATGAGTCTGCCAATTCTCATTGGCCTGGTATCCTCCTACGATTATGCTTGGACACCTATCACTAGACACCTAAGGTTTTATAAGACATGAACTGGCAAGTGGGAGACAAATGCATCCTGGGGGGCCATTATTAGAGTTTCAGTGGTTATGGCACATTGCTGCTGATAGATACACTAAAGGGCCTGATATAATCCTTGGTCTATCAGCTTATACAGTAGAGCTCGTCTAGGAAGATGTGCAGCAGAAAACCTGCCTACTCCTCCCTCTTGGCTGGTCTGGGGCCCCAAGTGTTTTATACAAAGCCTGGACTTGGCTCTGATCTACACAGAATTGAAGAGCAGATGGGCTCATATAAAGGAGCTGAGCCAAGGGAGATTAAGCAGCTCTGTTCTCTAGAACTCACTGCCACCACCAGGCGAAGGCTGCGGAGTTTGCCAGGGCAGGGCTGGACAGATACTGAAGGCAACTGGGATCTTCGAATGTGGGGCTTGGAGAGATCACCAATGGTTGTTTGTTAGAAGTTGAAGAATAGTGGGAATCGTAAGCCCTGGGTATGCAAGAGTGGTGAGCTTAGACGCTACTGGGCATGTCTTCTAGGGAAATTTCAAATATTCATGGGGGAGGTCCAAGGGAATGCTGCCGATCTTAAGTCACAGCAGCAGCCAGGATGCTCTCCCCTTGATTTAGGCATTGGTCCAGTTTCAAATGAACTCTCATGAAGACTCCACTTGGCAACTGTACTACACTGGCATTCAACCTGGAGGGGATACATGGGCCATTGTATTTACACTGCACTTTTACAAATGAGCAAGGTTGTTTTCACCTACTCATAACAATCATTTCTTTCATCTACCTCTTATGAAGACACCGCATCCGGCTCGATGCCATGCCCTTCATATTTTTAAATTCACATCCATGTTCAATTAGTGTAATTACAAAAATAAATTTAAAACCAATTACTCCCGCATATAATTATACATCTCACAACTCAGCATTTGCAGATAAAGGAAGCCATAGCTGTTATGACAATAGTTCCTAATAGCCTGGAACTGTGAATTAATTGCAGTTTAAGACGGCACCACAATGTAAATAGTGACATCGTTATTATTGCAAGATCACTGCACCACAAGGAAGAATAGGTTGCAGTGAAATTGTGGGAGAAGGGTCACTAGTTTCCATCAACATGTAACCAAATGGTGGGGAGATGGGCAAGAGTATGACATGAAATGACTGAAAAAGTTGGAGTCTTTAAGAAAAAAAATTTTGTTTTTAATCTTCCTGACCATTTGTTTCACTCACATCCACTCAAGTACTGAGGAGTCCTGGAGACTTCACCTCTGTGACAATGTGGGTCCTCACCTTGCCTCTCCACCTCCATTGCCTAAGTACTGCTATGCACTGATCATTTCTGTTTCCCCCCACCGTCTCCTCATGCCATCTTCTTCTCTCTATGCAGCCACCTGATGCATTTTGCTAAATTGAAATTTGACGGTATCATTTCTAGGCTTAAAATCATCCAGTGGTTCTTTATGGCTAGCAGGAAAGCGGTTCTCATGTTGTCAAGCAAACCTACAAGGACCTACAAGGAGATGTGCGGCTTCCTGCCTGCCATGGGTCATCTCCTTCCTCCTGTTCCTCCTACCGCTTGGGCATCCAGCACCCGGCTGACCTGCAGTTCCATGAGCACACTGTTCTTAACCTTTGCATGTGCCTGTGCTCCCTCTTTGTGGAGGACCACACAGAGGCTGGCCCCACTTCCCCACCCAGCTCCATGCCATAGTCACCTGCCCCATTCTTATCTGCCTTTCAAGATTCAGCTCACACTTCACCTCCTTTGCCAGACATTCCTTGACTGCTGCAGGCAGAATTGTCTCCTCCATCATATTTGCACAGCACCCTTTTTTTTTTTTAAATCTCTGCAACTGCACTTAGCACATTTTATTATTCTTTCCACGTATGCACTGGCTTCTTCACTAGACTGTGAATGCGTTAGGGACAGCCACCAAGCTTTCCATCCTATTTATCCCTGGGACTGAGCTCACTGCTTCATCTATAATAGGCAGTCTCCATATTATTGTCCAATTCTATTTTTAATTTCGGTTTATTTTCTTTACATAAACTCATAAAGTAAAACAGGAAAAGTTTGGTCTGGAGAAGCAAAGATGAAGGGGAACTCGATAACGATCTTGAAGAATTTGAAGGGTTGTCCTATGAGAAAGGATTTGGGCTTGTTCTACCAGGCCCAGGTGCGATTCTTGGTTGATGGATGGAAGGCATAGTGAGATAGATATTAGATCAATATAAAGAAGAACATCCCTAAATGTCAACTGTTCAAAAAAAGAATAAGCTGTCTCTTGAGTTAGTTGGTGAATGTCTCACAGCTACATAGGCTAAGCTGGAGATTTTGTGGGAATTATTCAAGAATCACATAGATGGACACACAGGTTGTCTTTTTATATTGTGAAATAATAATTAAAACATGACATTGATGTTCCATTATACTACCACTCTGCATCGTAAGAAAAGGCCTCAAGGAGCCTCTAACAAGGTAGAACAAAACTCATGGAAGGAACCTGGACATCTTTCTTGAAAGCTCACAAACTTTAATAGTGACCAAGCCATCCCAATTCTATCTTCTTAACACCTTCCACTCTCATCTCTCTTATTTAACCCCTTTGCCTCTGGTGTATAGAGGCCCTCACAAACTCCAACCTAGACTATGGTTCTACTCTTCTAATATCCTGAATTAGTACCCACTCCTTCTTCTTCAAGAAAGATGTCCAGGTTCCTTCTGTGAATTTGGTACCAGGCTGATTTGGAGACAGTGATCATGTTTGAATGTACTGGGGAAAAATTAATGAAATTTCTAGATCTTCAAAACTGAGGACCAACCTTAGATCAAAATGACCTCCACAAGTAGTTCTACCTTGTTAGAGGCTCCTTGAGTGGAAATGAATGCTTTCAAATTGCAATAACTACATAGAAATAAAAGACACTAGCAACTATTCATAGAAGTCTTATATAGTGGAGAGCACATAAGTGAAATTGCTCATGATTTTCAAACTTCTCTCCTTCTTCCCTTATCTGGTTCTCTGGAGAAATAAAAACCTCAAGCTGATTAGGTTTGGTTAACTTATTTCTACTTTAAACTATAATTATTTTTCTGATGCACTAGTAATATGAGCTTCTAAGAGTTGCCCAGACAGTTGACTAACCAAAGAGAATTTTGTAATGTAACGGAAAAAGCCAATTGTTCATTGAAGGGAAATATGTCAGTAGCTGAAAGGACTTTAAAAAGAGGAAATGCCAACTATAGAATCTAGTTAATATTTTAAATTAGATCTTCATTTTTATCTAGTGGAAATATTAAAAATTTGAAGGAGGAAATAGAGAAACCTTATAATAACATGATTACCAGTATTGGCCAACTCTTAGTTTATCTGCCTCAATTCCTTTCTCAGGGAACTACTCTGTGCCTCTTCATGTGGTTCTGATGGGTCCATCCTTCAAGTGTGCTGTCCAATCACAGTGGTCGAGCCAAGTGTCAATCAGAAAGCCTAATTTCTCTAAATGTAATCATTGATCCAGAGTGGACACGTGACCCAACCAGAGCCAATTGGAGTTCTTTTGGGGGACTGGAAAGCTTCACTGAGAGTGGGTTTCCCATTCAAAGGTCATGAAGTGTATTCAGTTTCCTCTGTGTAGAAAGATCCTGCTAGAAAACGAAGACAACAGAACCAAGAGATGGAGACACATAGAAAGGGTCATGATGACACTTAAGGGTCTGTGTTCATCCTTGCCTGAGCTAGTACTATCCCTAGAGCCAAAAAATTCTCCTTTTATGTATTTATTTATTTTTAGTTAATTTTGGATTTTAAAGGAGAGAATACTGACTGATTTCATACTCTGCATTGAATAGTGCTTTTTAGTTCTCAAAGCTAAAAACATACAGATGATCTGAGAGAAGGAAATATTTTAGTTTATTATCAAGAGCACTTTTCATTGAAAGCTCTGAAAGCATCTTTAAACATGAGGTTTTTGGAGGGAGAAAAGGCTGACCCCTTGAGCACTCTAGCTCTATGATCATAGGAAATGAGAAAATAGAAACACATAATTTATATGTATTGTAAGCCAAGTATCAATTCTGAAATGTTTTGATATCCCTCCCAAATCCCTAGATTGCAGTAATTCTATAGTCGAATGCCACTGAGCATAAGAAGTAATATATTTTTAAGTCATTCTAACTGGTGAAAACCAGAGCTGTCAATAGGCCAACTACCAGAGATTTCATTTTACACTCAGACCACAAGTGACATTTCCATGAATCTGACTATCTCATATATAGACAATGACAGACACACAAAATGTGCCTTAATTAGTCTATTACATAAATAGAAAAGCAGAAATAAAGTGAGAGAAAGGCAACTTGCAAAACCATTCCACTTCTGTTCTAGAACTTTAAAATAGTTAGAAGCAATACTAAAAGTTATTCATTCAACCTCTTTACTATGCTATGTTGGGACACTGTCACACATACATCCCAGGAAATTTAATTAATGAGATGTTGCCACGTAGGAATATTCTAAGCCCCTACTATCCTAATATCATCTTAAATGTATAAAAGGTGCCCACTGACTTAAACTGATAAGTTAAATATAAAGCAATATGAATTTATGGTTGTTACATGAAACTGGCAAATACTCCTCACTCAAGCCACCAAAATCCTGTCTTTGGACCTCTCTTCTCTGCCTGGTTAATTCCTTGTCATCACCTTCTCTGGATGTGCTGTCATGCCCTCTCCCTCCTGAGCCTGTTTTAGTTATCCCTCTCCTGCTGTCTGTCACATAGAACTGTCACTCTCCTCTATCTCCTTCACTAGACCGGAAATGACAGCAAAGACCGTGTCACCCTCAGTTCTGGACCCCAGAAGAATAGCACAGTTCCTAGCATATAGGATGTGTTCGACAAATTTTGTACTTAAATGAATATATGGCTGCTGATTAGACACATAGTATGGGAACAGGCAGCTCTAGAACCAGCGCTGAAGGTCTTATTAAAAGATACCCATCACTTTAAACTAGTTTGAGTTTAAGGACAGGAATATACATTCCAATGGATCTTACCTTGAAAATGTGCTTCAGTGGTTGTTTACCACCAAACCTTTGACTTCCTATGAGGACACTGGTCCTGCACCCCGTTAGCTCCATGCTTTTCCACCCTGGGTGGTCATTAGAATCCCCTGGAGAAACTTTAAAAATCTATAGCTATCTTGTCCCCATTTAAGCCAGGCTCCATGGGGTTGGGACCAGGCATCATAATTTTTCAAAAGTTCCCCAGGTGATTTTGACGTTCAGTGCAGGGTTGAGAAACATGGAATTAGTTGGTGGGTAGAAGCCTCCCCTACCATCAAGTGGGCTTTCCACTGGACTTTCCTGCTATTTTTATGAAACTAGTTGGAATCCTGGCCCAATAAATAGCACTTATTGCTGAGTGCTCACTGCATGCCAGGGACTTTGCATACCTCATCTCAACAAAATCACTATTGTTCCCTTTATATACAAAAAGAAATTGAGGCTCAAAGGGATTAAGAAGCAGCAGCGATGAGATTGAGATCCACCTCTCTCAGAAGTCAGACCGTGCCCTTTACATGACATATTAGGCTGGTTGGATGGGGTTCTGATTGTGCTAGACTGAGTCCGGGTCAGTGCCTCGGGGTATGTAGCTGGTTCACCCTGCAGGTAAAGAGTCATTTATCCTTCCCCAAGTCAAAGAGGTGTTAGGAAAATGAAGGTGGAAAGGTTTAATGTTTGATGTGATTCTTACGGCAAGTAAACTACTGTAATGAGTAGTTTCTGTTCTTTCTTCACTTTTTTTTTTTTTTTTGAGATGGAGTTTTGCTCTTGCTGCCCAGGCTGGAGTGCAGTGGGAAGATCTCAGCTCACCACAACCTCCGCCTCCCGGGTTCAAGCAATTCTCCTGCCTCAGGCTCCCAAGTAGCTGGGATTACAGGCACCTGCCACCACGCCTGGCTATTTTTTTTGTATTTTTAGTAGAGATGGGGTTTCACCATGTTGGGCAGGCTGGTCTTGAACTCCTGACCTCAGAGCCTCCTATATTGCTGGGGTTACAGGCATGAGCCACTGCACCCGGCCGTAATGAGTAGTTTCTATAAAAGAGACTAGTTTAAAGACAAAAGGAAATGCTAAAAGAAAGCCCTAACTATTGCCTTTATATATAGTTTATTTGTTAATTCATATGTATGTTTTGGTTATTTAATAAACATAAATGAAAATGTCTTCTCTGTTCCAGATGCTGCATGATATGCTGGAGATATGTAAAAGAATAGCTCAGTAATCCCCTAAATCTTAAAATGAATGCAGGCATTGTGTCAAAATAATAATAAGCAAACTCTCCACTAAAAATTATTTTTAATAGTTAAAAACAGGAATTGACTTTAAAAGTTTTAAGGCTCTCACCTCCTTAATAAGATGCTAAATTATAAAACATATGGCATTATCAGGAAATAAGAAGAAACAAAAAAATCATAGATATCCCAGTTGAATTCCTGACCCATTTAGAATGGTTTAGGAATTGTTAGTAGGCTGAAATCTCTCTTAATTTACCACAGACTTTATACATATTTTAAAACTCAGCTCGTGGAAAATATAACTATGGCCAATGATTTTAAGCTATTTTTATATGATCTCAAGGGCATAGACATATTTATTACCTTTAATAAAGTAATTAAAGTCCCATTTTACTCATGCTTCTTAATGATTATGTACTGAGTTATTAGGGAGAAGGCTATAAACCTTTCTAAGGGCAAAGGCCAGGAGGGCAGAATAAACCAGTGGGGAGCCTTGGAGAATTGCACCCAATGTGCTCATTCTTAAATAGGAAAGAGGAAACAACCCATGTCAAGAAGGATGGAGTCCAGTCCTGTTGCCCTTGTAAGGAAGTGAAATTTGTTTAGCTTCTTCTTTAACCTTGCAGTGAGGCAACCTTTGGCTATGCTGACCACGTGCATGATACATTTGGACTAATGCTATTTTAGGTTGGTATTAGTGATGGGAACATTCACTTCTTGGCTCCTACTTGAAGACATGTCTCCCTTTAATAATATCCACCCTTTACCACACAGTTGCTTTGTGCCTTATACTGTTCTAAGTGCTTTCCTTATCCTTATTCATTTGATCCTCTCAGGAACCCTTGACGGCATTCCCACCTTATAAATAAGGAAACTGAGGAACACAGTGGTTAAGGAAGGTGGCCAAGTCTCCCAGGTAATGCATGGCAGAGCTGGGAGCCGAAAGCAGGTGTCTGGCTGCAGGACCCTCGCTCTTCACCACCACACTTTGTCACCTCTCATGAAGACGTTTGCTTCTCTTCTTCCTTCACCTCAAATTCGTAAGTTGAAAAAGCCACCAGGGATGTTTGGAACTCATGGAGGAAGGCAGTCACAAGGGGCCGGTTGGGTCTCGACAAATGGTGTCATTGCCCTAAGTAAGCTGAGTGTCTTCTGGGGACCGGGTTGCTGGGGTCTTAAGTGGCCTGTTGAGATGGACAGTGTGGGTTTGTTCAGCTTTATCAAAATATGGATAGTTCATCCTGCTTTGAGAGAGTAGTGAGCGAATCTGCACATTCTCCAGGCCAGTTATATGTTCTTCATATATTGATGAATGTATTGATTCATTCAATCATCATCCAGTTGATTGATGGAGCAATCGAACATTCAAGAGGAAGAAAATGAATGCTGGGAAAAGAAAATCCAGGTTATGCCCCTCAGCCTAGGAAAGATGTGGAGAAAAGTGATACCACAGAGATGAACTGGGACACTGTTTGTTGATGGAGCTGACACTATGTTTACCCGAGGAGATGTTGTATGTTCATCCAATGGAAGAACCTAGAAGTTCATCCAATGGACGAACCTAGAAGTATTGGAAGGTAAGGGGAAGATTGTTGGGAAAACTCATTATAGTAGGTTCTTTATTTTTGGAGACAGGATCTTGCTCTGTCGCCCAGGCTGGAGTGCAGTTGTGTGCTCTCTGGTCACTGCAACTTCTGCCTCCCGAGTTCAAGTGACTCTCCTGTCTCAGCCTCTTGAGTAGCTGATATTACAGGTACGTGCCACCATATCCAGCTAATTTTTGTATTTTTAATAGAGACAGCGTTTCGCCATTTTGGCCAGGCTGGTCTCGAACTCCTGACATCAGGTGATCCACCTCCCTCCGTCCCCCAAAGTGCTGGGATTATAGGCATGAGCCACCAGGCCTGGCCTATAGCAGGTTCTTAATCTCAGTTCTGCTGACCTTGAGGGCTGGATCATTTGCATTGTCTGCAAGGGGATGTCCTGTGCATGTAGGGGGCTTAGCAACTCCCTGGCTACACTGTTAGATGCCAGTAGCATTCTCCAGCCCCTCCCAAGTTATGACAACCAAAAACGTCCCAGACATTGCCAAATGTCCCCTGGAGAGCAAAATTCCCCCCACTTCCCTTGTTGAGAAACCACTGTCAAGCATAGACACTGGAGTTTATTTTTCAGGGATTCCAGGCTGTCTAAGGTGGTTGATTCTTTTTTCTGTCTTAGTCTGTACAATAAGAAAGCTTATATAAAAACGCTTGGGCCAGGTGCGGTGGCTCACCCCTGTAATCTCAGCACTTTGAGAGGCTAAGGCGGGTGGATCACCTGAGGTCAGGAGTTCGAGACCAGCCTGACCAACATGGTGAAACCCCGTTTCTACCAAAAAATACAAAAATTAGTCAGGCATGGTGGCGGGCGCCGGTAATCCCAGCTACTCGGGAGGCTGAGGCAGGAGAATTGCTTGAACCCAGGAGGCGGAGGTTGCAGTGAGCCAAGATTGTGCCATTGCACTCCAGCCTGGGCGACAGAGCAGGACTCCATCTCAAAACAAACAAACCAAAAAATGCGTGAAATCCATTTTATTTTCTCTGCCCTCTCTCCCTCCCTCTTTCCTCCTTTCCTCCAACCTTTCCTTCCCTCCTTTCTCTCTGCTTTCTTCCTTTGCATTAGCTTTTTGGATCACATTACCATCTTTGGGGAGGATTACAAGAGGAGCCTCTTGTTCTTAGGTATCCTCTACTTTCTTCACTTACAATGAAGGCCAAGAAGCAGCTGTCTATGTACAGAAATAGGCTGTAGTAATGTTTTTGGTACCGGTGTGTAGATACTGTTGCAAAATCACTGTTAGAAGCAGAAAAGAGAATCCTTATTCTCCAGTAGCCCAACAGGGCCTCCATCAGCCCATGGTTTGCCTCACTTCCTGACTCAGTGCTCCTTATTTCTTTACTTACAAAGAAACAAAGTGAAAGAACATGCCTGGAATGGGCTCCTGATCCCCTTACCCTCTCCCCTAGGAGGTACCCTCAGCAAGAAAACACACATTCCTCCCAAGAGCAGGGCCGCCTACAGATTGTCCCTTTATCAACATGCTTTCTCAACTGCCCTTCGTAAAAAAAGAAAAAGATAACATTTAAACATAAAAATGGAAGGTAACACTTACCTGAGCAATGAAAGAAAAAACAAGCAAAAGAGGTTTAAACATCAAGCAAAACGTCGAGTTAAAACGAAAACACACACACAAGAGTTAGGAATGATTAGTGAAAAGTAGATAAAGTAAAAATGAGGCAAAGAATAATTCATATACAAGTCAGGCACTGAACATGGACTTTAATATAAAAATTGATATGTATATATATTTTGAGACAGGGTCTCACTGTGTTGCCCAGGCTGGAGTACAATGGCACAATCTCTGCTCACTGCAGCCTCTACCTCCTGGGCTCAGGTAATCCTCCCCACTCAGCCGCCCAAGTAGCTGGGACTACAGGCACACACCAGTACGCCTGGCGTAGTGTATTTTTGTATTTTTTGTAGAGACAGGGTTTCGCCATGTTGTCCAGGCTGGCCTCAAACTCCTGGACTTAAGCAATCCACTCACCTCAGCTTCCCATGATAAAATATTAAAATAAGCCAAGACAATGCAAAAGAACAAACAATTTTAGAGACCAGAAAATGTAAAGCTTGAAAGCCTCTCAGCACAAGATGAGTGGGAGTTAAAGTAAGATGAAAGTAATAATAAATCACAAGATAAAGGTATCCGCTTCGAAAAAAAAAATGATGAGCTAAATGGAAGTTGTTTAAAAACAACAGAAAGAGGGGGAAGGAGGGATTCAGACAAGTTAAAAATAATAAAGTAAAAAATCTTAAGTTCAAGCAATTTAAGAGGCCAATCTTTAAGAGGAAGAACAAGTGGTTTGAAGAAGTGAAGCAAGGAGACCAGAAGGCGATACAGTGGGGTGAGGTATGTCAGAGATAGGGTTGCCAGATAAAATATTTGTTAAATATTTGCTAAATCTGGCCAATGTGCTTCAGGGAGGGTCCACTAGACAGAGGAGGTCCCCTAGCTTGGTTTTCTGGCTGCCAGGGCAGGGGCCACTGGTGGTGTAAGGGGGCAAGCTGTGTCCCCAGTGATGATGGCCCTCTTGTGACCACCATGGAGCCCATCCCTCTCAGTGGGATGGACACAGGGAGGCACCACACATCACAGACCCGGGCGTGCAGTCTCCTGCGCAGTGAGCTCATGCCATGCTGGAAAAAAGCAGTTTCTTGATCAATCGTAATGTCATACACTTTCCTCAACAATTCCTTCTCATTTAGAAAGACAGAGTTGATCTGAATGTGAAACCACACTGCAGGGCTTATCCTAAGCATAAAGATGTCCTTTGGGAGTCTTTTCAACGCTTAAGCTATTCTCAGTCAACCCAGAAGAGGGTGCAGGCAAACACACAGTGACTCCAGTACCTGGAAATTGCAGCTTGCCTCTCTTGTCACTGACTGTTTTATTACTTTAGTGTCTGATTTTTATGAATACTTGCAAGTAACTACAAGGCACACCCTTTTAATTATAGTTTTATTCATTCACTCAGACAAATTAAAGGAACCCTATTAGCTGGGCTATTTTAACAGTTTATGACATACAGATATGTCTGAAAATTACATTAACAGGTAAAAGGCTGATATATCATCTTTCTCTGGGGGTGCTGTTATTACTTTAATGCCTTTAAAATGATTATTTCCATCACTATTCCCCATAACAACCCTGCATTAGGAAAGTAAAACCTTGCTGCAATGAATATTTCTTGATCCCTTACTGTATGTCAGGCATGTGATAGGTGTGGGCAAATCATGAATAAGATTTGGCCCCTCCTGTAAGGAAGGTACAGCCCTATTAAAGTGGGGAAACCACAGACAAGCAGCAATTTCAGTCCAATGTAAGAAGTGATGTGAGGGAAGCACGCACAGGTGCTCTGGGAGAATGCAGGGAGGCCACTGTCACAGATACTGGGGACCAAAGGAGGCTTTACCAGGGAAGCTGCATATGAGGAAGCATAGGCCAGAAGTGGAGTGGGGTAGCTTTGCTGGTGGAAGCACATTTCAGACAGGCCCAGGGGAACAGCATGTGCAAAGGGCAAGGGGTGAGATACAGCGAGGCAAGTTGAAGGAACTGCAAGTACTGGGAACAGGGCTGCAGTGCGGTGCAGGGGAGCTGATCAACACATAGAAGGGTGGAAGGCAAGCGGGTAGATTACAGAGAACCTCACAGAGCATAAGCTAAGGAATTTGCATTCTGACATCGATGGGGAAGTCCCGGCAACAAGGACAGATTGCGGCCGACAGAGAGAGAAAGAGTGTTCTGCCTGCAGCACGAGACTGGATCCGAAAGAATGGAAGCAATGAGTCCTGCCAGGAGCTGGCCAAGGTGGTCCCAGTGCGAGTCAATGTCAGTAGCCTGGATTAAAAGTAGCAGCGGCCAAGATAAAAGGAGGCAGATATGTCTGAGACATTTAGGAAGTCGATTTGACAGGAGTTGGCCATTTGGTCATGAAGGAGGATTGCCAGGTTTCTGGTTTGGCAAATAGGCTCTTGGCATTGCTGCTGATGGAGACAGGAACTATAGAAGTGGGCTGAGGGCGAGTGGAGGCTGAGTCGGGGACATGTTGGGGTTGTGGGGTCTGTTGGACACATGGTTTTAGGATTGAGGAGGGCAAGCTCGAATGAAGTGGAGCTTTGAGAGTCATCAGCTCCCGTCGGTATTTGGAGACGAAGGAGTGGACGGATCCCTTGGGCAGGGAAGCTTTCCAGAGAAGAGAAAATGGTAGAGGGCAGGACCGTGTGTAAACATAAGGTTTAGGAGAACAAAAGGAAGGAGAAGTGGCAAAAATGGACAGAGAGATAGGAAAAAGAGAAACCCTAAGAGAATGAGGTGGCCTGAGGTGAAATAAAATGAGTGATTCAAGGAGACAGTGGTCCACAGTGCTAAATGCTGCCCCGGAAGTTCAGTAGAATAAAGATATCAGTTCATGTCCTTTGCAGGCACATGGATGAAGCTGGAAACCATTATTCTCAGCAAACTAACACAAGAACAGAAAACCAAATACCACATGTTCTCACTTATAAATGGGAGTTGAACAATGAGAACACATGGACACAAGGAGGGGAACATCACGCACCAGGGCCTGTTGGAGGGTGAGGGAATAGGGGAGGGAGCACATTAGGAGAAATACCTAATGTAGGTGATAGGTTGATGAGTGCAGCAAACCACCATGGCACATGTATACCTATGTAACAAAACTGCATGTTCTGCACATGTACCCCAGAACTTAAAGTATAATAATAATAATAATAATAATAATAATAATAAAAGATTACAAAGTGCTTGTTGCATGTTAGAACAAATACACAATAAGTCATTTTGGCTGGAGAGGGCTTAGTGGAATGGGAGAGGCTACAGCCAAATTGAGGATATAAATAAAAGAGAGGAAGTGGACGCTATAAATTAGGCGAAGTCTGTGTGTGCCAGAGTAGGGGGAGTTAGGGTGATAGCCTATGGCAATAATGAGAGGATGCAGGATTGGTGGAGGCTTTATTTGTAGCATGGGAGAGACTGGGCATGTTTAATGTCAATGGAAAACACTAGTAGAAGCAGAGGGATGATAGAGGAGGTCCCCAAAAGAGGCAGGATGGGTGGAGTCTGTGGCCAGAGGGGTGGGATTGGCTTAAAGCGGGAGGATGAACCTCTTGCGCTGCAAGAATGAGTATTTTCTATGGGATTATTTGACTTAATGACATAGATACCGCTAAATCTCCTCCTCACATGGAGATGAAGTGAAAATAAGAGACAAGGTTATGACATATTTTCCATGTCCACTATGCAACAGAGGGACACAGAAGCCAAGGGTGGTGAGGAGTCTCATTATTATACAGTTTAATTACCTGTTGTTTTCAGAAATGGCCCCTTTAAAAAGGATGTGTGTGATCATCCCTGCTGGGGAAATTTTATTTTGGTCCAACATTTCCACGTCTGCCCTGGATCCAAGTGATGGATTTAGGTGGAACTCTTTGTGACAGTGAACTAACTGCTCAAGAAGGCATACTGGGAGCTTAAACTTCACTATCAACAAGGGATCAATAGAATTTCCAGCTACCTTACTTTGAATTCTACCCCTAGTACATTGGAGATAACTGACCTTTCCAGTTCTCTAGAGAGACCCACTGACCCTCCAAAAAAAATACAAGAAGGACACTTAAAAGGCAAGAAAGAACCACATGGATCAAAACCAATTGTGTGGGAAGAAATACATATAACGAACCGTCAATTCACTGTAGTTTTCTAAAGGAGACACTTTATTCCCTAAATAAGTATGTTTAGAACGGCTTTCAGCACTGGAGAATGTTTCTCTGCTGTTTACTTTGTTTACTTTTATTATTAACTAGAATCTCCCGGGGAACAGGGATCCCATCCAATGCCCTATGGTGTTTTCTGTCCCATGGCACTGTCTGGCATTTCAATCCCCTGTGAAGCACTTAATTGTACCTTAGGGTTGGGGTGGGCCTCCGTGATCCGGGCATGCTCAGTTCAGACGGGATAGCTCAGAAGTCTGATAAACATAAAATGAAAGCTGAGAGTAAGCAGGTGACGGGAATTGTCAAGGGAATATGTGGTCTATGTTTCTGAAGAATCTGTGAGAAGAAACACCCTAACAAATCTATCAAATGGTGCTAAATCAATTACAGCACGTGTATGCAGTTCCCAAGTTAATTTCTCCTGCCCTACAATTGAAGCCTATTCTGATACTCATGTTGAGTTACAAGGGTAATGCCTGCTCATGGGTTTACTGTATTACAACAGCAATGTGTAGTTTATGTCTTTACGTACACAAGGGCTATGCCTGACGTACATAAAGTCATTGTGGTATTGGCATGTTGTCTATTAGGCGTTTGCTCCATTTGCATTAATTCTGTTGTTAATTCCCTAAAGTAGGTTTGAAGGGTTCCAGTCAGCATTAGCATGCAGAACTTGCAGCACTGGATCTGAGAAGCTACAATATACATGGCATCATGTGTTTATCTTGAGCTGCACACACTCAGAGGGCTTCTTCACTAGGAAACAAGTACTATAATGAGGTCTCCTTGACATGATCCCTGTGGCTCATTCTATTTAAAGCAGAGTTTCTCAGTCCTGGCTGCACATTAGAGTTACCCAGGAGTTCTGGAAAATCCTTGTGGGTGAGACCTACCCAGACCAATGAAGGCAGAATCTCTGGGGGCATCCCTAGTTCTGAAATTCCCGCAGGCAATGCTAATTTGCAGCTAGGCTCGAGAATCAATACGTAGAGTTCTGATGAAGATGATGTCACTTTGGTTTCATTTTGTTGGATAAAAGGTGTGGAGTATGCAATCCTCCGTAGCAGAGCTTGTATTTTGTTTAGAAAGCAGTTACCACCATTGCTGCACCTGGTCTCATAATCACAAGGTTGACTGAGGGACCCCTTTACCATGTTACTATCTAGTAAAACTCATCAAATTCCACTACCTTTGCTTATTATAGTTTTGTTAACAGTAAAAATAGAAAGAATCAGCTGGGCATGGTGGCTCATGCCTGTAATCCCAGCACTTTGGGAGGCTGAGGCAGGTAGATCACCTGAGGTCAGGAGTTCGAGACCAGCCTGGCCAACATGGCAAAACCCCATCTCTACTAAAAATACAAAAAATTAGCCAGGTGTGGTGGCAGGCACCTGTAATCCCAGCTACTTGGGAAGCTGAGGCAGGAGAATCGCTGGAACCTGGGAGGCAGAGGCTGCAGTTTGCCGAGATCATGCCATTGCACTCCAGCCTGGGCAACAAGAGGGAAACTTCGTCTCAAAAAAAAAAAAAAAAAAAAAGAAAAAAGAAAGAGTCACAATATCAGACAAGAGTAGATTAGTTAAATATATACACAATATCCTAAGAGTAGAATATTATACAGATATTAAAAGCAATTCTGCAGGTTTGTTTATTTACATTCATTCATTCATTTAACAAGTATTTACAGAGAAACCCTGGTGTGCCAAACAGTGTTCTAGGCTCTAGGGATATAGTAGTGAACAAGAAAGAGATATTCACATGTTTTAAAGAGAAGGTTTAAAAATAGCATGCATATTATTTTATTACATATAAGCATAAAAATATGGAAGGATCTACATTAAAATATTAATCAAGATCTGTGTGATGAAATTAAAATGATTTTAATTTTTGCTTTTTTGGATATTTTTTTCTATGCTGGGCTTTTATTCCTCATGTAATTCTAGGTCTATAAAATAGACATTCGATTCCATTTCTCAGATGTCTTATAGCTCTAACAGAAACATGTTAAGTGACTTAACATGTAGCAGGACCTGTCTAACTCTACTATGTGGTTAGGGGTGACAGCATGGCTGGGCAGAAAAGTCAATGAGAAGTTTTTTTGTTTCTTTTTTCAGAAGGAGTCTTGCTCTGTCACCCAGGCTGGAGTGCAGTGGCGTGACCTCGGCTCACTGCTACATCCGCCTTGCCAGTTCAAACGATTCTCATGCCTCAGCCTCCCAAGTAGGTGGGATTATAGGCGTGTGCCACCACACCCGGCTAATTTTTGTGTTTTTAGTAGAGATGGGGTATTGCCATGTTGGCCAGGCTGGTCTCGAACTCCTGACCTCAAGTGATCTGCCTGCCTTTGACTCCCAAAGTGCTGAGATTATAGGCGTCAGCCACTGTGCCCCGCCCAAATGAAAAGTTTTGATGGCCTCTGGCAGCGACAAGCCTGGCTACTGAGGTTTAAAGTGTAGTGAAAAATAATTACATTAATTCTCCTAGGCTTTTTTCTTATTATTTGCTTTTGTCCACTTGCTTTTCTGTGTAAGTACTTGAGATATTAGAGTCTCAAAAAGTACTTGAATAGATGAGTTAATGATTTGCAAGGTGGTTGAACCTGTGCCCAATCATTCAACTGCAATATTGAAAGTAGCCACAAGATGGCGAGAACGCTTAAAAAGTAAAGAGACCAATAAAAATCCCACAGTCAGCCAGTGGGTGATGTGTTCCCTTGCAAATTGCCATTAACGTGAGCTCACTGACAGACATGTAATCATCAGCCTAAGGTGTCTTGTCTCCTTTGCCCCTGCTCAGCAGAGAGTGCAGCTGACATCAGTTACATAGAGGGGTTCCAGAATCTTCTCTCCCTGCAGCAACAGGGCTGCTTTGCTAAATATGGAAGCCCATGTGACACTTGACTTAGCAAAAGGCTTTAGACTTGCGTGAACTGCCTGTGTGGAGAGCTGCTTGTCCCTGAGGGAGAAGTAGCATCTGCAGTCATGCTGGAAGAAGAGAAAAGGAAACCATACTGTATATATATATAGTTTTTCTTGCCTTTGGTCAGTCTGAGGGCTGGAAAAGAGGGGCTGACAGAATGGTTGAAAGATAATAATAGTGTGATCAGTCTGCAGGCTTCAGAGGCTAGGGGTACAGCAGGTCCAAGGGAGGAGGAAGAAGGACCCCCCCAAAATACAAGTTGTAAAAAAATCATAAAGTATGTAATAATGAAGGATTCACAGGGTCATCTTGCATATATCTAAAACCTGTCCAGGGATTCGCTTTCCAGTTTATGAATGAAAGCAAGTGAACCTTAAAGCAGCATTTAAAAAAATTGTTGATGGATGAAGGCTTATTAGAAGATATAAATATAAAAATCTTGCTCTTGTTAACTTTCTTTTTTGGATTTCTGTGCCCCAGCCTCCCTCGCATTTGTGTGCCTGATGTGAAGTGCATACGCCCTGGAGCTGCACAGCTGTGTTTGGCTTCAGCTTTGTACGCATCTGTCTATGTGACCCTTTTGACCTCTTGGAGCCCTGGTTTTCATGCCTGTAAGATATGGCTTACAGGAAGAATCAGAGAGTCATGTTTGTAAAGTGTCTCACATGGCCCAGCACATAGTAGGGGTTCAAATAAAATGATTTTCCTTTCTTTCCAATCTCACCTTCAGCCACTTTACTTTCGAGTGTTGCCTGGACACTATATTGCCAAGACTGTGTGCTTTCTCTCTCTCTCTTCCTTCTCTGGAGGTCTCTATCTTCCTCTTTGTCCTGGAAATCCCACCATTACTTCAAGGTCTGGTCCAAGTAAAGGTGTTCCTCAGAGCCCCACTGCCCCAATGCCAAAGAGCACTCTGATGAAGTCTATTCTCCCTATCAATGATGATATCTCTTGTGGAACTTATGCTGCTTAATCAGAGATAATAGTTTCCATGTCTGCCATCCTCCTTTACTCCACATTGTGTGTTCCTGGAGCATGAGCTATGACAATGTCTTACATGTCTTCACATCTCTGAATAAATGGAAGAATGAACTTCAGTTGCACTGTTCTGTTCCTTTTTTTCCATGGGGGGAAAAAGATGTCTATAAATGTGTCTGAATCAGTAACTGCCAATGTTTTTGCTCTGCTTGACCATTAACTCAAGTTATAGTCAAAGAAAACAAAACATTTAGATAAGACCATATTATTATGTCAACAACCAAACTCGGTCCTTCGCTTGAAGATTTTGCAGTTGAGTCTGCAAAAACTCTAACTAGCTATAAATCCATATGGGAGCGTATGTTTCATCACTTCCCTCTGACAGACCCAGATGCAGCTCTGTATTAATTAAATCCAGGTCTGAAGAGCCACTATCCAAGCAAAAGAAGTTATGCATGTGTAGCTTATTACTTACATAAAGTGAAACCCTCCCTCACTAAATGCATTGTATGATAAATGAGCTGGACACTGTCCCAGGCCTTTCAGTTTTTACAAAGAGGATAATTTTCTTTAATGTCCTCCTTTGGCAAAGACTACGAATTTTGACAAGAAAATTCAAACTGAGTGAAACTGCTTGCTGTCTCATATCATTGGGTATCCCAAGACAAGAGGAGCTCAAAGCTTTTAGTAACATATTTGGAAAGGTTGAGAGTTCATGAGGAGCACAATATCACTAATGTATTAAATATGGATTTTTAGCATAAGCTAGTAGCTTCCTAGGGAATGCATGTCTCTTTAATGTAGAACCTTTACACTTTACTTGGGAATGATTGATGGAATTGCTAATAGCAGCCTTACAAGTATTATCTCATTCAATCATCCTCAGCACCCTCTATGGTGGCCCTATTATTATCCCTGTTTTACAGATAAGGAAACTGGAGCTTGGGCGTTTAAAAGACTTGCTGAGAGTTACACAGAATGTAGGTGAAATGAATTCAAGGCTGGTTTGATCTCAGAGTAAACTGTTACTATGTACAAAACCTTGTAAGGCTGTTAGTAAAAGTGACTTATTCTGGTTTGCTGTTCATAATGTAAACAAGGATAGGTTACATGTTCATAAAACACAGACTCTGAAAAATGCTACCACAGGGCACAAATACTCTAATGGAAGCACCAAACATTGTGGAACTTGGTCAGAGGAGGAGGGGGATCATAAAGGCTTTTTGACAGGAGCATAAGTGAGTTCATGAAAACCAGAAGTAACCTGGAGTAGCCATTGGTAAGGTTTATCCATCTTGAGGCTTTGAGTCACATAGCATCTTCAAACTTCATTTCTTTGTTTCCTCATGATAAAAATGCAAACATGTCTCAATCTAAGTAATGACAGCACCATATTTATAAGAAAGTCAGAACATTTAGGGAGGTCTCCTTTGTATGTTTGACTTCCAACTCACATTTGAATAACTCACGGAAAAGGGGCTGTCAGGGACAAGATATGGATTAAACTACATCATGTTACCCACTTTAGCATGTTAACATAATTTGTAAAAAAAAATGGTAGGAGTACTGACTAGCTTTTCACACTGATCACCCAAATGTTACATGATCATATTAAAAATGGTGATATTATCCCCCCAAGAAAAATTGATACTACTTTGCAAATTACTACCTCCTCAAACATGATGAATGAGAAAAAAAATTTAACTTTCATTTGAAATGCAAGTAAAATGATAAAGGAAGTAGCCTAGCAACCTACAAAAATCTTTTTTTACAAGTTTATATTTCAAGGAATGAAGATCAGGGCTCAGCTGGTCATTTAAGGAATGATTATTGAGCATTACTTTGTCCCAAGCATTATTATCAGCAACTGGGATACATGAGTGAACAAAATAGACAAAGGTATCTGGTCTCATCAAACTTACATCAGTGAGGGGAAGATAGATATTACACAGTAAATATAATAGGCAAATTATTAGGAAGGTTAAAAGGTAATATAGAGATACTGAAAAAAGAACAAGTAAAACAGAGTTGGAAGGACCAGAAGTGTGGTGGGGCAGTGTTCGTTTTTAAAAATGGTGATCCACATGTATATCCCTGAGAAGGGGAGATCTGAGTAAACACTTAAATGAAGTGAGGGATTTAACCAAGCAGATATCTGAAGGAAGATCACTCCAGGCAAAGGGAAACCGAACGCCTAGAGCAAAGGCCCTAAGAAGGGAATGTGTTTGATGTGTTTGTGTTCAGGAACAAGGTGGCCCATGAGGCTGGGTCAAGCGAGTCAGGGGTGGATGAAGGACAGAAATATGGGGAATCAGGACCCAGAACAGGTATGACCTGCACATAATGGGGGCGGGTTGGCTTTTCTCTGAGTGAAGTGGAAGCCATTTCAGGGTTTTGAAGAGAGGAGGCTCATAGTCCGCCTTGCAACTGAAAAGGCTCCCTCTGGCTGCAGTACTGGGGACTGCAGGGAATGAAAGCATAGTAGGAGGCCTGTTAGCACAGCGAGCCCCAACCTTTTTGGCACCAGGGTACCAGTTTCCTGGAAGACAATTTTTCCATGAACTTGGGGGCGAGGATGTTTTCGGCATGAAACTGCTCCACCTCAGATCATCAGGCATTAGTCAAATTCTCATAAGGAGAGTGCAACCTAGATCCCTCACGTGCGCAGTTCACAATAGGGTTCACGTTCCTATGAGAATCTAATGCTGCTGCTGATTTGGTAGGAGATGGAGCTCAGGCGGGAATGCTCACTAGCCCTCGCTCATCTCCTGCTGCCCCACCCACTTCCTAACAGGCCATGGCCCAGTACCAGTCCACGACCCGGGGGTTGGGGACCCCTGTGTTAGTGGACCATGGCAGAACACAGGTGATTTGAGGGTGCCCTGGACCAGGTAGTAGCAGTGAAGGTAAACTGCCAGGATGTGGTTTCCCAGGTGGGACTACATGTTTACAAGCCCCCAGATAGCTTGACTCCAATCTATCTCTGCCAGTTTGGGAGTCGTTTAAAAAAAAAAAAAAAAAGGAAGAAGGAGAAGGAGGAGGAGGAGAAGAAGAGGAAGAAGAAGAAGAAGAAGAAAGAAGAAAGAAGAAGAAAATTGAACCTTGGAGGATTTTTGCTCTAATCAAATTTCAAGTCCATCTTTCAGTTACATCATTTGTTAAATGAATCTATGAACATAAAAACTTGAAATGCATCAAAATGGCCAAAAAAATAACACTGAAACACTAGCTAAAGAAAGACTGGTTAGCTCATTGGTAGATCTTTCTTGCTGCCAAACTACTCCCAAATGTCACTGAAATTTGAGAGAAGGCCGACAAAATCATTTTAATTCCTTTCCAAGCCTATACATTCCCAAATAACATGTTTTCTTTACATTTGTAGTTCTCCCAGCACGCATTGATTAGGACATGTTGAATCATTCTATGTCTTTGAGACAGGCAGAGATAGAGGCTCATTCATCTTACTGAAGTAAACATTCACTTTCCTCTCTCACCCTTGTCTGTGGGAAGAGTGTACTCCATCCCACTGATTTTATTTGTGTGTTTTTGAGATTGGGTCTCGCTCTGTAGCCCCAGCTGGAGTGCAGTGGCATAAACACAGCTAATTGCAGCTTTGATCTCCTGGCTGAAACCATCCTCCTGCCTCAGCCTCCCACCTCAGCCTCCCAAGGCTCAAGCCACCATGCCTGGCTAATTATTTTGATTTTTTCTAGAGACAGGGTCTCATTATGTTGCCCAGACTGGTCTTGAACTCCTGAGTTCAAGTTATCCTTCCACCTTGGCCTCCCAAATTGCTAGGATTACAGGTGTGAGCCACCATGCCTGGCCTTACCCCATTGACTTTGACCTTGATCTTGTAACCTGCTTTGGGCAATGAAACATAATTGGGTATGACATACATTTCATCAAAGAAGAAAATTCCAAGAAGCATTGCACATTTCCATCACTTTTCTTATTCTTTCCCTCTCAGATACCTTTGGCAGCTGTTCTGAAATCAGAAGACCCATGGGACTGAGCCATAGGTGACCACCAAGCACACATATAACGTGAGAGAGAAATACATATTGCAAG
Source organism: Homo sapiens (assembly GCF_000001405.40). Taxonomy (NCBI): domain Eukaryota; kingdom Metazoa; phylum Chordata; class Mammalia; order Primates; family Hominidae; genus Homo; species Homo sapiens. The sequence goes on along the minus strand of NC_000006.12, from coordinate 12,888,747 downwards.
TTACTGAGATTTTGGAGTTGTTTGTACTGCAGCAAAACTGACTAATATGAAGTCATTTTGGATGGGTGTGTTCTCTAGATAAGTGAATGGTTTCTTTCTTAGAGTGCAAAACATTTAAAAAAACACATATTTTATTTAGAAAATCTAAAAGTTGTTCCATTAATGGGCATTTAAAAGAGTTAAATAAAACTAATTTTCATGACTTGAGGTTTTAAAAAATTATGATTAATTATAAATGCTAACATAGGTATACTTTATTAAAATGTGGATTTCCATTCAAAACTTTTCTGTTAAATGATACATGTCTTAGTCTATTTGTGCTGCTATAACAAAATACCTGAAACTAGGTAATTTATAAAGAATATAAATATATTTCTCAGTGTTCTGGAGGCTGGGAAGTCCAAAATCAAGGCACCCACAGGTTTGGTGTCTGGTGAGGGCCCATTCCTAATAGATGGCACCAGCTAGGCATGCTCATGTCGTAGAAGGAGCAAAAGGGCAAAAGGGGATGAATGAACGCTGTATCCCCATGTGGCAAAAGAGCAAAAATGGCCTCAGCTGCTTCCTTCCAGCCCCATTCTAAGGCACTAATCCATTTATGGAAGCAGAGCCCTCATGACTTAATCACTTCCCCAAAGACCTCACCCAGCCATTTTTTTTTTTTTTTTTTTTTTTGAGATGGAGTCTCACTCTGTTGCCCAGGCTAGAGTGCAGTAGCTCAATCTTGGCTCACTGCAACTTCTGCTTCCTGGGTTCAAGCAATTCTCCTGCTTCAGCCTCCCGAGTAGCTGGGACTACAGGTGCCCATCACCATGCCCGGCTAATTTTTTTTTTGTATTTTAGTAGAGACAGGGTTTCATCATATTGCCCAGGCCGGTCTCGAACTCCTGAGCTCAGGCAATCCACCCGCCTTGGTCTCCCAAAGTGCTGGGATTACAGGTGTGAGACACCGTGCCTGGCCAATACTACTATGATAGAGATTAAGTTTCAACCCATAACTTTGGGGGACATTCAGACCATAACAATATGCTTCCTGAGATTAGAGATAGTGTTGTACCCATCTGTGTATCCTGAGCACCTAGAGTAATGCCTGGCACATAGTGGACTCTATAAATGTTTGTTGAAAGCATTTGGCAAATGAGGGCATGAGTAAGAAAACCACAAAGAGCGAATGTCATGCTCCATGTTGGGGGTTTCCAGCTTTTCTGACTGAGAAGGTGATGTTCCATGGATAGACGCTGCTAGATGATAAGGGTCAGTGACAGGATGGAGGAAAGAGGCTATGAGTGCTTAGCTTAGCCGGCAGGTTTTCAGTTCGCAAGTAAGATTTGGGGAAATGAAGAACAGGGGCATGTGAGCTGCATTCCATGCCTATAAGGACTCAGCAGAAAGCTGCAACGTATTAAGCCTGTTATAAGGTTAAGCCTCCCTTTACTGTCTTCAGGTGCCTGGCATTTTAGCATGAAAGTCCCTCCATTCTTCCTTTTGGTGCATGTTCAAAGGAGCAGAGGATTCCCCGAGGAGAAGAACAATTGGAGTGGAACCTGAGGAGCACAGGAAGGGGCCTTGATTCTCCCAAACTTGGGAGGGACTGGCTGAAGTAAAGTAAAAGGAGGCCCCTTGGTGCTGGCCAACTGAGTGGAACAGCACATGGCTGGCTGGGAAAGTCTCCAGCTCATTAAAAAGAAAAGGAGGAGGAGGGGGTGGAGGACAAGGGGAAGAGGAGGAAGAGGGGGAGGAGGAGCCATTTTATCACATTGGAGCTGCACGCTGCTGCTCTGAAACCGACCACCACCTTCTGTTGGGATCCCGTGCTTGGAATCAAACTTTTTTGCTTCATGATTCACACCTCCCATCCCTCTTGCTACTGTTTTTTGAAGTGACAGCAAAGGCATTTTTTTTTTTTGGAACTGCATTCCTTAAGATTCCACCTGCCACCTAATCATTAAGTCCCTGCAGAAAGGAAGTATCAGACACAAAAAACGAAAGAGCACTTCTCCCCTGTCTTCTCTCCTTTCAGCATCAGGTGTCTCCATGAGCTGTGAGTGGGTTTCCTTCGGAAGGTTCTCTGTTGGGTCCTGTGTTGTTGGGTTGTGGTGTTTCCTTTTCTTCCCCAACCATGCACTGATGTGGGAATAGCAGATGTGACATTTGAGAGTTCAAGTTCAGCGAATCCTTTGGGTGCATGTCCTTGGGGAACTTATCTAATCTCTCTACTTGTCTCAATTAACTCTTCTGTAAAATGGGCATAAAATATGACTCCAAAGAGTTATTTTGAACATTTAATATGAAAAAATATTAAAAGCGGTTAGTAGAAACAAGTGAGAATGTGTATAATAATAAAAAGTATGATGGAAATGCTTTTCTCTGATATGGGAATTGCTCTCATTGAGAGTGACCTTTTAACTTTTAAAAGTTTTCCTTCATTTTCAGGAAAGTGTAAGTCTGTGACCTTTGAATGTTTTTTCTTAAGTTGCCTTTTTTTTTTAACAATCAAACAACAACTTTAACATGAGGATTATATGCACTTGTGGTTTGCTTCATTCATAACAAGGCAACAATGAGCCAATATATTGAGATAAAGGTAGAGTCAGTTATGAAGCTTCCTTGGACAGGGTTTTTTGTTTTGTTTTCTGTTTTTGTTTGTTTTCTAGAGATGGAGTCTCACCCTGTCACCCACGCTGGAGTGGAATGGTGTGATCTCAGCTCACTGAAACCTCCGCCTCCTGGGTTCAAGCCATTCTCCTGCCTCAGCCTCCCGAGTAGCTGGGATTACAAGTGCCATCCACCAGGCCTGGCTAATTTTTGTATTTTTAGTAGAGACAGTGTTTCACCATGTTGGCCAGGCTGGTCTTGAACTCCTGACCTCAGGTGATACGCCCGCCTCGGCCTCCCAAAGTGCCAGGATTACAGGCGTGGGCCACTGTGTCCGGCCTCTTGGACAGGGTTTAAATGGACAATTGTGTTCCCAGATCTTATTCCGTGTGCCTGCCATCGCTAGCATCAGATGAGAACTGCCCCCTTGATTTCCACGTTTGTAAGGGTGTAAATAAAGAACAGTATTTTTTCTAGGAATAAAGCGACATGCAAGTGGCTGTGTCATTGTGAGGATACTTTCAAACTATAATCCTTCTGGTGAAATGGTTCATTAAACAAACCCTGTAAGGGGACGGCCAGAGAGACAGAAAGAAAATGCATCTTTGCTATTTCTAAAGCCAGATTGCAATTTCCAACTTCAAAGGGGGAAAAAATAGCCAAAGCCTCAAACATCCTCTATCCCTGCTTACTAGAAAACCAATTTTCCAGATAATAGGAATTCTTTGATCAAAGGCAGGCAGGCATTTCCCTTTAAGTGGGTCAAATGATAATTGCCTACAGGAAAACCCACGTTAATAAATTAATCAGTATTCTGACAGCCTGCAAGGGATGTGGACAGATGCTTGAGGACAGCCTTCCCCCAGAAGTTTTCTCAAACAGTACCAGATGCACATGGAAAGGCCACTCTGGAGCTGGATGAAAGCATTTCTTTATCATGGGGCGGTCTAGGTCCGACGCAAGGCAGTTCCACGGGACCTTCCCTGCATTCCGCAGGGATGTGTGGCAACCTCACTCTAGGCTGTAGGCAGAAGCAAGCATCAGTGGTGCCCTCAGCTCTGCACTGTCTCTGAGTGGGTTGAAGAGGGATGGTGTTAGCATTACTAGGCACAAAGAAGGCTTTCCACAAGGTAGATGGTCCTGTTCATCCTCTAGGACTCGACTCCAATAATTTAGCAGATTGCTAAATTATCGAGAAAACTCCACTGGTTCCTTTATCCAGCTCTCCTATTAAAGTAAGCCATCTTGTAAGTGTTTATTTATGATTAGTCTTTTTCAAAATTGGGTTACTAGAGAGCAAGGATTTGTGTGTGTGTATGTGTTTGTGTGTGTTTGTGAGTGTGTGTGTATAGTGTACACAGTACCAGGTATTCAGTGGTGTTTAATGAGTGAATGAATGAATGAATGATGCATTGATGCCTGCCATGATTTTGACGCATACAAAATTCCAAAGGCCGGGCGCGGTGGCTTACGCCTGTAACCCCACCCCTTTGGGAGGCTGAGGCGGGCGGACCATGAGGTCAGGAGATCGAGACCATCCTGGCTAACATGGTGAAACCCTGTCTCTACTAAAAATACAAAAAAATTAGCCGGGTGTGGTGGCAGGCGCCTGCGGTCCCAGCTACTTAGGAGGCTGAGGCAAGGGAGTGGCATGAACCCAGGAGGCGGAGCTTGCAGTGAGCCGAGATTGCACCGCTGCACTCCAACCTGGGCAACAGAGTGAGACTCCGTCTAAAAAAAAAAAAAAAAATTCAGTAAACCAATTATGTACTTGTCTGGACTGAACCATGATGCCCATCTCTGTGTGTATATGATCCCTTCAACCAAAGTTTGTGCTAAGTTACAAATGTACAGAGAGACATGAAAAATGAAATAAAAACCATAAATATTGACTGAGCATAGTAGTGGGACAGATATTGGGAAATAAAAATGTATGGGTCAGGTCCCTGCCCTTAAGTGCTTATGATACGCTGGAGAACATGTTTGTATGTATGTATATGTGTTTGCATAGGTATATGTATGCATGTGTGTATGTGGGTACATGTGTGTGGTTATGTGTGTATATTTGTGTATGTGTGTGTATGTGGGTACATGTGTGACTGTGTATATATGTATGCATGTGTGTATGTGGCTACATGTGTGTGGTTATGTGTGTATATTTGTGTATGTGTGTGTATGTGGGTACATGTGTGACTGTGTGTATATGTATGTGTATGTATGGGCATGTGTGTGTGTGTGCATGTGAGTGGGCAGATGAAGAAATACATATACTGGAATCTTATAAGACAATACCTAGTAAGGCCAAAGGACTGGTACTAGTGAAAAGAGAATTATGATATGTATGCAGGAGGAAAGGAAAAAGAGTAGGAGAAGATAAAGAACGGGATGTGAGCACTATCAAGATGCCAGTATCCTTCAGTCCCAGAGCCAGATCTTATCAACTTGTTCCAGCTCTCAGACCCGCAGGGAGAAGGAGAAAACAGGACCTGAGCCATCCCCAGACAGCACAGGACTCAGGACTCAGGACTCAGGACTCAGGTCTCAGGTCTCCTGGGGCCTGGAGTTGGGGTATTTCTTTTTCTCTTCTGTGTGGTTTTATTTTTTCAGACTTTCTACCTTTAAAAAAAAAAAAAAGCTTGGACGGGCACGGTGGCTCACACCTGTAATCCTAGCGCTTTGGGAGCCCAAGGAGGACAGATCACCTGGGGTCAGGAGTTCGAGACCTGCCTGGCATATATGGCAAAACCCTCTCTCTGCTACAAATACAAAAATTAGCTGGGCGTGGTGGCGGGCACCTATAATCCTAGGTACTTGGGAAGCTGAGGCAGGGAGAATTGCTTGAATCCAGGAGGTGGAGGTTGCAGTGAGCCGAGATGGCACCACTGCACTCCAGCCTGGGTGATAGAAAGAGACTCTGTCTCAAAAACAAACAAACAAAAAAAGCCTGACATTCTTGTTTTGATATACCTGAGAATGCTACAATCCAGCTGGCTCTCCCTCAGGCAGGGGCTGGGGTGGGGGGATCCTCTTGTCAAGCTCCCAACTCCATAACTCTGACTTATCTCAGCCTACCTGTGGGGACCATGCTGCTGGCAGCCTCTGATTACTTCCCCCAGGGCAGCAGCATCACTAGAATCATTAAACTTCCTGCTGGCCTAACACCTCCTCCAAACAGGTGCTTTTAAAGACCTTTGCAGGAAGGTGCTGGAGCCCCATTAATCACTTCTCCATGGGTGCACATAAAGCTGTCGTGTTATATCTGGGATAATAAAATCACTTTCAAGCATTACTACACCAGCTCACACTCATTTATAACATACTTCTAAGTGCTTTACAGAATATTATTTTTTCTATTGAACCCACACAACTACCTCACAAGGAGGGTAAGAAGCCAGGAAACCATCCAATTTTCCAGAGTAGACAGCCACCCTTCCAGAAGGGCGATAGGGTTTGCTCCAACCTGGGGGCTAGTCTCTATGGTGATGACAGTACTCATACATTGCTTTTCTTTTTTTGTTTTTACTTTTTAAAATTTTAACCATTTTCATCTCTCTGATTATTTTCACATTCTGCCTCAGATGCTCTTATTTTGCCCCTAAATTGATTTTAAACAGATGAAAACATTTCTTTCTACACTGCCAAGGCATTAGTTGGCATTCTTCTTCTTCTTTTTTTTGTATTTTTATATTTCTTTTCATAGGTTTGAAGCTGTGACTGCATGGTAATGAGATAAATTGCCACAAGTCATAAAAAGTCACTATGTGGATCTGGGAGTCAATTTCATGGATCTGCTCAATCCGCCTTCCCTCTTCTTGGGGGCAAAGTCCTCTTCTTATTATCATCGTCCCTATTTCTTAATCATCTCCAATCTCTCCCTTCTCAGGCCAAGTTCTCTCCAATCAAGCAGCCACTTTCATCTTCATTCCTCCTTCCTTAAGCTACTATCTTATTTTTCACCCTGTTTCCCATGCGAAGACTCCTAACAATGGGCAATAGGTGGGTAGTAGCACCTGCTTCCCTCCATCCCCCTGTCCCTCTCAGCCTCGGGTGCATCCTCACAGTGAACGAAGCCCCAGCCCCCAGTCAAATGCCCTGTTCTTATCGTTCATTGTCTTTAATTCTCCTGCAGCATTTGACCATGTTGAATTTGTCTTTAACACACCTTCTGCCTTGGTCTTCAGGACACTTCTGTACCCTGGTTCATTTCCCACCTCTCTGACTTCATTTTTACTCTTCCTTTATCCCAAACCTGCCTCCTGCATCGTGGAGATTTCCAAGGGGTTGGATCCTGACCTTTTGCCCTTCTTTCTCACTCTCTGCTGGCATGGGACATCATAGCTTTATTTATTCACGTATTCAAGTGTATGTCTATTTACTGAGTTTAATAGTGTTTAGTACCATTTACTTAGGACATCGCGAGTCCTACTGTGTTCCAGACACTTTTCTGGGCCCTAGAGATTCCGTGGGCAACAGGACCAAGCTCCTGTCTGCTTGCAGCTCACACTCTCCTGGGGGAAGAAGAGTGATGACGTTATGAAGTAAACAAATTGGGGTGATGAAATGGAGAGGGAAGAGGGTCTTAAGAGGTGACACTAGAGCTAATCCCTGAATGATAAGAAGAGCCAATCACGGGCATGTCTGGGGGAAGAGTATTCCAGGGAGTGGAGCAAGGAGGTATGTGACATCTACATAGATGACTCCAAACTCAGGACCACACATAGTGACATTTTAAAGAGCTCTTCTTATCTCCACTCGCCTCCTAGCTATCACCATTGTCCCTGCAGGTTCAGCGCCAAATGCAACCCTTCCACAAAAATCAGCTCACTCTATCTTAAATTCTCCACCTCTTCCATGAGTGCCAGTTAGGCTGGAAACTTGAGAGTCACTCAGCATACAGCATCGCCCTCTTCCTTAATATTCACCATGGCAACAAGAGCCCCCACTGTCCTTCCTTTTTTACATCTGCCGCCTTTCACGCAGCTCCCTGTTGTCAAGTTCTTCCCTACACAATTCAGCTCTTAGTCCACAGTCAGATAACTACCATTTGTTGCAAACTTACGCTATTCCTGGCACTGTGCTTCGTACTTTACACACCTTCGCCCAGACTACCTGTCAGGTACTCTTAATAGCTCCATTTTACAGATGAAGAAACTGAGGCTCAATATCCCCCTTAGATAATGACCTTCACTACGCCATTTCATTTCTTTTTTAAAAATCTACATGATAAAAGATCACATTTCACAGCCTGATAATCAAAAGCTCCAAATTTCCTTTTGAGCCACAGCTTGCCTGTTCCGCGAACATGAAACCTCTGACCCTGCCAATCAATGAATCAATTTGCTTTTACCTATTGTCTTTTCTCATGCTGACCTCCATACCTGGAGTGCTTTTCTTTTTTTTCTTTTCCTTTGTTCAAATCTTGCCTAATCTTTGCACTTCAATTCCACATTTGCTTAGGTTATAAAAACCCATATTATATATTTTGGGATCCATTCTGGGGCTCTTATTTATGCATAAATTTCCTTTATACGACTATGAACTCTTTGTGGGTACACCTGTATTACAGCACAGAATGATGGTTAAAAGTATGAATTCTAGGCCAGGTGCAGTGGCTCACACCTGTAATCCCAGCATTTTGGGATGCCAATGTGGACAGATCACTTGAGCTGAGAAGTTCCAGATGAGCCTGGGCAACGTGGCAAAACCTCTTCTCTACAAAAAATACAAGAATTAGCCAGGTAGTGTGTGCCTGTATCAAGTCTCTGACAGGGACACAAAGGTCCTGTAGTTCTAGCTACTCAGGAGGCTAGAAGTGGGAGGATCGTTTGAGCCAGGAAGGTCAAGGCTGCAGTAAGCTGAGATCACATCTCTGCACTCTAGCCTAAGTGACAGAGTGAGATCCTGTCAAAAAAAAAAAAAAAAGAAAAAAAAGTATGAGTTCTAGAGACAATCTGAGAGTATGAATCTCCAAATCTGTCCCTGAATTGGCATGCGATCTCTGGAGTTCCATTTCCTCATTTATGAAATAGACTTGGTGATCATAGTACCTACCTCAAAGGGTTGCTGTGAAGTTTAGGTGAATGCATGCACATAAGCATGTGGTGATCCTGGAGCATAATAAACACTCAATAGATGTTAGCTCTTTGCACCTCAAAATTCTGGGAATAATGTGGCCTTAATGAGTATCCTTTTACTAGTGATCTATTCAAATTATTAGATATGTGTATAACAGTGTCCTAGCTACTACAAGGATAGAGGAAAGTGCCCATACGAGAGTAGAATAATGGCCATTGTGGATCTGATTCATCCCTTGTTGTTTGTGGAAGAGGTGGGGTAGAGAAGTAAAGGTTATGAAGTCAAACTGTCTAGGTTCAAATCTTGACACTTCATTTCTGTGTTGCTGATTTTACCATCTGAAAAAAATGGGAATAATAATATTATCTGTTTCAGAGAGTTCTTGTTAAGGACCAAACAGGAAAATAAATGGAAAATACTTAATACTCAATATGTGTTGGCTATTGATATCATTACGAGTTAGTGTTGACCTAGCCCTGCATCAAGTCTCTGACAGGGACAAAAAGCTCCTGAGAAAAAGGTCACAAATCAGGTCTAAGAAAGCCAGAGAAAAAAAGAATAAGAAGACAAGACCTGCTACTTCTGGTGGCTCCTAGAAAATACTGGGTACCTGGGGAAGGTGAGTGTAAATGCAGAAAAAAAGCCAAGGGGTCTCCGAGGGTTCCCCAGTTGCCTGACCTACAAGGCTTCCCTACTTAGGGTGACATTTAAAAGAGTTGAGTGGTCTTGGGCAATGGTATTATTTTTTATTCCACGCTTGTTCTCAATTTCCACACTCAACTGGGCAAGACAGACCCATGTTCTCTTCAGAGAGATTACTCTTCTCTCAGGTCTATCCTTTCCCCGTCTGCACCACTGTCTCTCCCTTGGTTCACACTCAAGGTTCAAATTTCTTGCTCAGATGATTGTCATAGCCTCCTAAAATTTTCATCGCCTCCAGCAATAGCCTCTGCAATACACTCCACGGGAGCAAAACCAGCCTGCTTGAGAAACATGACTGTAAGCAAGAACTGTATTAAAATATTGAAACTGTGAGCCATCACACTACATCTCCAGACTATTAACAACCCCCAGTGCTCCACGTGCCTTTTCAATGCTGTTGATAAAAGCAGAGGCACAGGTGAAATTTTAAACGGGTGATGATTGCATGGAGTCATAAATTCCAAAGGAGTCCACTGAAAAGGGTGCACCTAAATCTGTCTCACGCCTCTTTATCTACCTCCTCCTGTTTTAGACAACAGTTTCAAAGTATAATATAAACACTTTCAGGACCCAAGGAAGTTTAAAGGGGGACAAGGCAACTTAGTGACACTGAGCTGCTCACTGGTGCTCTAAATATTTCAGAAGTGAAATATTCACTTTTCAGTATTTGTCAGAAGCCCACTAAAAAATCCCCAGAGCAACCACTATATTACCAGCCTGAGCTCCAACTTCATTTGTCAATTTTTGGCTCACCACTCAGCTCTTGGTAATAGAGAGCTTTATGTTTCTTCCAAAGTATCTGATATATGAGCTAGCTGGGGTTCCCCTGTAAGATGATAAGCTCCCTGAGAGCAAGGGCAAGGGCTTCAAGAGACTTACTTTCTTGTTCTGACTCTACAGTCACTTGGTTCTGTGACCTAAGAAATACTCAATTTCAATGTTGACATTTTTCTACCGTTAAAGTACAGGAGTTGAATTAGATGTGTGGCCCCAAGCTGGGGATTGTAAGCCCCTGGTGGGTAGCAGAGATTTTTTTCAAAAGTTCATCAAATCCATAGCAGCTTATTATATTCTCAATCCACAGATATTAAAAATAGCTATGATTTTGTGGGGACCATCAAATTGTATTTTTGAAATGGGTCCTTGTACTCATGGCAAAACATCAGCTAAGAGCCCCTGTAAGGTTCTTGGCTGCTCTAATGTTTATTCATTCCTTTGTTTAATACATATTCACCGAAGGCTTATCCTAATCAGGTACTTTGCTAAGTGCGCTGGAATCTGAGGTGGAAAAAGCATGATTTTGGCCTCAAAGAGCAATGAACACTTAGCTGACAACTGCAACCCAGCATGATATGACTGGGAAACACATATTGGAGCCTTTCTGAGCTTTTAAGTGAGTGTATCATTTGATCTTCCCCACTGTGAGAGGGGGACTCTGATCATCTTCATCTGAGGAAGAGTCAGCAGATGCCAGAGAGTCAAGAAGCCCAGGAGGGAGAAAATTCCATTAAACTCCAAAGCCTGAATTGTGGACACTGAGCCTAAATTGCTGTTATGAAGGTGAGCGCACAGTGCAGTTGAGAACTTATGTTGGAAGGAAGATCTTGGGGGAATTAGAGAAAGTGTCACAGCGTGGGGACATGAATCCTCTGATAAAGGAGGAGTAGCTTGCCAGATGGACAATCAAGAAGATCATCCAAGAAGAGGTGGGAGCAAACGCAGAGCCACACAAATGGGGAAGCCCGGGGCACACCTAGGGACCCTTCAGAGTTCTGTAGGCAAGGGCAGGATGATGGGGGTGGAACAGGCTCAGGAGCAAACAGACGGCTGTGATTGGGCACATTCCAGTTCTGTATGCTGGATGCTCCGGTATACAGTAGGTGGTCTCTATTCTCAATTGATTAGGGCTGGATGATGTGCATCCAGTTCACCGACATAGTGTTTAACAGTATTTTCTTCCAGGAGAGGCATTATCTCAAAAACTACTCTACTGTCACCCTGGATGGCCATCAAAGCCTTTGTTGATCATATACTGACCTTCAGAAGGCAATGGCTTCATATACCCTGAAGCACCCACATTACAGGTGTGACAATCACACAACAAGCATACATACAAGTCATTCTACTGCAACCCTTTCAGCGGTCACCCCAATGGCTTTGCTTTGTTGTGAACCTTATCATGAGGGTTAATTCTATGTGTCGTGTCAACTTGACTGGGCCACAGGGTGCTCAGAGTAAACACCGTTTCTACATGTGTCTGTGAGGGTGCATTGGGACGAGATTAGCATTTGAGTGGATTCTGTAATGTAGATTTCTTTCCTCAGCGTGGAAGAGTATCATCCAATCTGTTTGGGGCCTGAGAAGAACAAAAGGTGAAGGAAGGAGGAACTTGCATCCCCTCTTTATTTCCTGCACAACTGCTAGAAACATCTCATCTCATCTTCTCTTGATTTTGTACTGGGATTTATACCATCAGCACCTTTGGTTCTCAGGCCTTTAGGCTCAGACTGAATTACGCCACCAGCTTTCCTGTGTCTCCAGCTTACAGATGCAAATTATGGGACTTCTCAGCCTCCATATCCTATGAGCCAATTCCTCATAATAAACCTACCTATATCTAATCTATATCTATATCTATCCTACTGGTTCTGTTTCTCTGGAGAACTTTGACTAATATACTTACCTAAGGATGATGCAAGTTTAGGACTTTTTTTTGTTGATGTGTATTTTGGAATCAATGCTTCTTAGTCTGTGTACAGTCTTTTAAGTCAGACAATACAGATTAAATATCTGCATGCTTGGCCTTGCAGGAGAAGTCCTCCCTGAGAAGACAGTGATGTGTTTTTAATGCTCCAAAGGCAGGAGTAAGCTGAAGTTTAGAAGATCATTTTCTCATTAGAGCAGATTTCTAACTCTGCAGTTTACTAGCTGTGCGACCTTGGATAAGTCTCTTAACTGCTTCTTGTCTCAGCTTCTTTATCTGTAAACTGGGAATGATAATGATATTAACCTGAGTATTGTTACTTTTGTACATAATAGTCTGGTCATTGGATCATTATGAAGATTACATAATTAATATATATGCTTACATTTAGAACAGTCTCAGGCACATCGTAAGCAGGGTATAAATATTTTTTCCTTGTATCAGGAGGTTCTGCAGAAGGTATGACTGAAATCCAGCCTATGCTTTGCTCACTAAGCCCTGTGTCCTGCAGAGAGGCACCTTTTCCTAAGTGGTACAAAGGTGTTCGATGGGCTACGGTAGCCCTTCTTCTAGAGGAGATGAATCTGCCCTTACCTGCTCACAGCCTTTTGTTCTCTTTATTTTGAGTTAATTGAGAAATATTTGTAAAAGCTTCAATGGACTGATTATAGTGTCCCCATCTTCCCATTCGTGTTCCTAACCTCCTTAGCTTTATTATAACGTTGGGCCAAGAATGCTGGAGCAGACCTTCCTGGTTTTTCCACGCAGCGCCCCTGGTCCTCCTCTTTACACACTTGTAAAGAGCACGGTGGAGATTCATAAGCAACACAGAAGGCATGTGTTGTCACATGGTCACATTTAGTTTCTGCAGTCCCTCTCAGAAAAGCTCGAAAAATATTGACAACACAAGCCAGGTTTATCTAGCAAATTCTCCATTAACTGGAAGGAACTACAAATCTTCAGCGCTGCCTGGGAGCTCACACAAATCTCCACAATAGTGATTTCCAAATGTTACAGCAGAAAATAGCATAGCAACTGAAAAATGTTTGGGGTTATAGGTTTAGGTCAAATTGGACTGGGTACCTTTTTTACTGGTCTTTCAAGAACAAGATAATAAAGACATGGTTTTTACTTACAGGGGCAGCTCAAAAAATTGCAAAAAGCCTTTCACTTGGGATCAAAAGGCCAAGGCTGACTCTTGGTTCTGCTCAGCTTTGGGTGATCTTGGGCAAATTCACCTAATTCTGCTTTTCAGAGCTAGCATGGGCCTTACTGGGCACAACGCAAATATCGAGGTGACGAGTTTAAGTGACTTGAGAAATGTTGCTGAGTTAGCAGAGCAGGGACTTTCAGCCTTGACTCCTGGCCCAGGGCTCATGGAGCACGAAGAACCCTGTGGAGTCACGATGAGTAATAAATGATTTTTCCAGATAAATTGTAACATGCACGCCATTGAATACATTAAGTACAATGTCCATGTGTAAATTTCCTGTGGGAATTCAATCCTTATGTTTCTGAGTCATTTGGTGTTAATTCATGTAAATGTTACTCTTTTGAGAGCTATTTGATGTCCAATGTGCCCTGTAAGCTTGGTTCTTTTTACATAAGCCTCATTTATTTATTTGTTCATTTATTTATTTGGTGCAAAATCAGGAAATTCTTCTTTGCCAAGAATAAACACATTTGAATACCAGATGATTCAAAATTTTCTCTCAAACTCAAGGTCTGCCAGATGAATTAGTTCTAATCCTCTAAATAACAAATAAAAGGAGGGGTGAGGGCGTTCCCAACTCCAACCTTCAAAATGACAAGCTGACATAAGCAAAGCATATGTTAAGTCATTCAGGTGCGTTTTCTTATTTTCCATCAATGTGATAAGGATTTGGGGAGGGGGAGGAGGAAATTGGCATTATTCTTATAATTGTTGGTTCAAGGCAGAGACCCACTGAATTTGTTCTTCTTGTGTTTTGCAAGAGGTTCTTTCAGTTTGATACCACATTTGGAAATGTGTTTGATCACATTTAATTGCAGATAGGAGGAGGATGTAGATGGTGGTGGCTCGATGGGGATGAGGAACTTGTGGGAGCCTTATGTAGCCTACCAATTAGATCTTTAGCTAAAAGGAATAGAAATGTAGACACAAAGAATAGAGGCAAGTCCTAGGGTGTCTACGGTATAACCCTTGTTTTGAGGAAGAAGAAAGATATGATGAATAGCCATTTGGTATTTATACAGCTGTTCTAAAAAACTAAACTGTAATTACTGAAATGAGGCTTTTCATCTCTGAACTTTAGTAAGCCAAGTTGTGTCTAGCCATGAGTTCAGCTCTCCCCTTATTCTCAACTCTCAGATGCCCCTTACTGGATTGCTATTCTGGAGGAACAAGCCCTGAGGATCCAGAGTTTCTCTAGATCCTTGCTACTGAAAGTGTGTCAAGCCATCTAGCAACACTGACATTACCTGGATCATCACAAAAGGTGAAGGAAGGAGGAATCTTAGAACTTCAGAACTCTTAGAATTTCAGAACTTTAGGCCCACCCAGTCCTACTGAATCACAATCCGCATTTAAACAAGATTCCTAGGTGATTTGTATGCACATTAAAGTTTGAGAACTATAGCTTTAGAGAGAGAGAGAGTTGGCAAACATTTTCTGTAAAGTGCTAGAAAGTACATAAACCAGCCTTGTAAGACCAAAAGGTCTCTGTTGCAACTACACAACTCTGCCTTTTAGTGTAAAAGTAGCCATGAACAATCTGCACACCCACAGGCATGGCAGTGTTCCAGTAAGTGTTATTTACAAAAACCAAGTAGAGGCTGCATTTGGCCTGCAGGGCCCAGAGTTACAGGCATATGTTGTTACTGTACAAAGCAGAAAACCAAGTCCTCTCCCTTACATCCTCCTCTGCCCATTCACACTCTTTGGCCTTTGTACATCTACTTTTTCCTGTCCCTAAATATCTCCTCCCTCTTCCCTTGACTCCAGGCCCCTTCATTGTCTGGGGAATTCACATGCTACCTCTTCTCTCTAGGCTTTCTCTTCTGGGTTTCCCCAGAATTGATTGCTCCTTTTTTGTGGCTTGAAATCCCTGTACATGAACACCTGATGTAAAACGTATACTTACCTGTATTGAACCTTTTTTTCTCTTCCACTAACTTCTGAGGGACTTAAAGGCTCAGTAACGCACTTATGTGTTTATATCGTTCTCTCCCACTATAATGTCCTTGAGAGCAGGCATTGAGTTTTATTTATGTTTGCATATCTAGTGGCCAGCACAGTGACACAGCATATATTGATAAATGTTTATTGCTTTTTTCATCTCTGATCCAGACTGGTCTTATCTTAAGAAAGATATTAGGCCAGGCAAGTTGGCTTATGACTGTATTCCCAGCACTTTGGGAGGCTAATGTGGGAAGATCACTTGAGCCCAGGAGTTCGAGACCAGCCTGGGCAACATGGCAAGATCCTATCTCTACAAAAGAATTTTTTAAAAAGTTAGCTGGGTGTGGTGGTGTGCACCTATAGTCCCAGCTACTCAGGATGCTGAGGTGAGAGGATCACTTGAGCCCAGGAGTTGACGCTGCAGTGAGACATGACTGTGCCACACTGCACTCCAGCCTAGGTAACAAAACAAGACTCTGTTGAAAGCAAAGAAAGAAAGAAAAAGGAAGGAAGGAAGGAAAGAAAGAAGGAAGGAAGGAAGCAAGGAAGGAAGGAAGGAGAACGAGAAAGAAAGAAAAGAAAGAAAGAAGGGAGGAAGGAAAGAAATAATTGATGTAAGGAAGGAACTAAAAAATATATTTAGAAATAAAGAGAAAAATGGACCTGAAAGAGCTGTACAACCACAGGAGTGCCAGGGGTTGATGGCACAAGGATTTGGGTCCTGCCCCCTTGAGGAGGATGTACCTGTATGCAGCATGTCTAAAGGACTGTGGTGATGAACACGAATGATGAGAAACTTCGGGGGGCATTTGATGTCATGGGGGAAAGAAGTTGAACTACAAACTACAGGACTGAAAGGAACCAGGCTCACAATTGATTAACGTATAATAGGGATTTCTCCTTTTTGAAATTTAAATAGTCACATCGTATATCCTCTATATTCTTTCTTGTATCAACATACATGGAGAGTTGAGTAATTAAGTGGTTATGTACATATGTACATAAAATCAAAGAGCAAAGAAGTGAAAAGGCAGGTGTATATTTGCATGTATGTGTGTGTGTGTCTGTGTGTTTGTGAGATATTATCCCTTTCTTAAGTTTTTTATCATGGAGATTTTCAAACATCCAGTAAGAGTAGAGTTAATAGTATAATAAACTTCCATGCATCCATCATCCATCTTTAACATTTTCCAAGTTTATTTTTTTTCATTCTTCTACTTCTAGTTTTTAGTTAGGGTATTTAAAAACAAATCCATGCTCTTGTTCCGTGTATCACTAATAGTTATTGCAGTATGTACCGCTAACAGATAAAAGTCTTCTTTTAATGTAGCCACAATACACTTACGTATTTCTAGCTTGGACCTAGCTGATAAAGCTTAGAGGCAATGGAAATCCAGTAGCAATCAGAACCCTTAGCATCTAGATTATGGGCAACAGAGTGAGATTCTGTCTCAAAATAAATAACTAAACAAATAAATAAAACTCATGTTCATAATGGTAAAAAAACTCATTGGTCACTAACTCATTCTGAAAATTGGTAGATAAAAGGAAAAAAAAAATCCATCACATGTCCTCTCTTTCACATACAAACTATTTCAGGGTAACCAAATGTTTGATGAGGGAATGTTTTTTTTTTGTAGAACAATACCAGCTAATCAATGCAGAGGAAATGGGAGAATTATTAAATAACAATTTCTAACTGCTAATAAAATAGTGAATCTAGGTGACAATCATGAACAGCTGTGAAAATGTTTAGGTGAAAGATTGGCGAGGAACTTCAGAATGGATGGATCGGGCTGACACTACCTAACTAAGCCCATTAATCAACCTTCACATCACCAAACAGGGGGCAATCAGACCTTAGATGACTACCCATAAAGTATTCTTGGCAAAGAACTGAACCTGAATCTTATCAGGCCAGTTTTCAGAAAATATCAGGTATAGAGAAGCATGGCAAATGACACTATGGGGATGAAACAAGCTAAATCTAGAATGCAGGAAATGCTGCAGATTAAAGGATCCATTTTCCATAACAAACCACATAATCAAAGGGGGAACTCTCATACATTGAGACTTAAAAAGCTTATAAGTCAAACGCAATGTGAGCATCTCTTTTAGGATCATGATTATGAGAAACCAATTGTAAAAAGCCATTTGTAAAATTATTAGAACATTTGGACACAGGGAAGCGTTTTGAGGCATTTTTAGGGTGGGGCTGGGACTTGTAAATGTCTAGTGAATCAGGTGTGTGATCCATACTTATGTCCCAAAGTCCAGTAGCACATAGCGGTGAGCAAATACCAACACATTCTTTTCATCTGGCCCCCTTTCCTTGAATCTATGAAGTCCATTTTCTGCTAGAAGTCTTTCTTCTTCATCAGTTTTCAACTTTCTTAGTTGCTATCATATACCTTTCATTCCTTCCTAGATAGATTAGATTTGGGTCTTTCCATAAAGTTGCAGCCACACATTTGCTAAGAGTCTCTTAGATTACTTCTACACAAGCCTAAACTCATTGATTACAGATGATTACTCGAGTCTTAGTCTCAAGACAGTCATTTTATTTCCTGAGTATGAGGATTAACTACTTTCCCCACGTACTGATATTAGCTCTTGTTTTTGTAGAGTTAATTTATAAAAAACAAAAACAAAGCTGCTTTGGTGAAACCTTTTAGAAGCTGATAAAAGTCAGCTTCCCAACTCACCAGTCCAAGACAATCCTGTCAGTGAGTGTATGTGGCTGTTGACTCCTAGCTGGAAATGGAAGTATGAGGATGGGCTTAGGAAGTTTTGATGTACCCAGAAGGAGAGGCTTAACGTACTTCAGCATGCAAAGGTGGAGAAAGAGAAAAATGCACGTGGTTGTGTGTACCTGTGTATCTGTATATGTGCAATTATAGATGTGCAATTATATGTATATGTGCAATTATAGATGTGCCTGATGTAGAGACACAGACCCTTCAAATAAAATTCCCAAGGAATTTCCAGTGTGTTTTCTAGATGATTGTAATTTTAAACATTTCGCAGGCTGACATTTTCTAGTAAAAATCATTCTACCAAATCCCTCTCCAAATGGGGAGTTGATAAAATCTCCTTGATGAAACATGTAATCATACATTAATGAATCTTCCATTTAAAAGAATTGAATTAGATTACATAGCAATAGTCTAAAAAAAGAAGAAAAAGAAAAGCATTCTAAGCAAGATATGTATTTCTTTGCCTGAAATGAGAGTGTCAAAGAATGTCTTTGAATGACAGAGCACTGTGTAATTACACCTACATGTACTGCTGCATTCTCTGACATCTTATTGAAGAAAATGTGCATGTTTGCCTTGAGCCAATTAGAGATGTTGTTGATACAGGGGAAGCATTGGAGTTTTTTTTTTTTTTCCATGTCCTTATTCATCCACAGTGATCATTCAGCCAGCTAATTTGCTTCTCCTCTTTCATTCGATCCAATAAAATGTATGAGGGCTTGTTACAGGCACTTAGCCAGGTGCTGCAGGGCAATATAAATAATCAGACTATCACATAAGGTTATCTAAGGTCACAGTTTAGTCACCTTATAACCCTAGGACCAGGGACAATGCCTGACACAGAGTAAGAGCTCAGGAACTATTGCTAAAAAGATCTGTGGTACTGTACTCAAGTTCATTGACTTTACACTCTCGTATGTGTGAAAGATACACTCAAATGTATAGAACTACAAAATAGAATGTGCTAAGTACCAAAAAGAGGTGGCTAAAAAGAGCCACAGACAGAGAAGATAGAGAAATTCTGATCCAAAAGAATCTCATGTAGGTGGGGAGATTTCAAGAATAGAGACTGTGAAGGACATTCAGGCAGAGTGAACGTGATTAACAAAAGCACTATGGTCAGCAGGAAGGAGGAGGACTGGTTTGCAATGCAGTGAAGAGCCCAGTTTAGTTGGAGTGTCAAGCATAGGGCTAGATCATCAGGGGAAGGTGCAAGGGTGGTAGATAGGGCTGGACCATCAGGGAAAGCTGCAGGAGGACCAGTATTGTGGTACAAAGTGGGGGCTAGGGCTAGACAGGAAGGTGGAGGTGCAGAAGATGGACTATTGGGAAGAGGCACAGGTGGTTGAGGCTAGGACTGGATCATCAGGAGGAGGTGCAAGGGATTGGGATAGGGCTGGACTCTTAGGTAGAGGTGCATGGAGTGTGAGACAGGACTGGATTAGTAGGCAGGTGGTGCTAGGGGTGGGAAATAGGGTTGGACTATGAAGTGGAGGTGGGTGATAGAGGAATCTACATGTTCTACTAAATTTGTCCCTCATTCTGTACATCTTGGGGAACCACTGTCAGCCACAGGCTGGGAATCTATCAATGCCCTGTGAGTCTCTGGTGGCCCAGGGTTGTTCTACCTGAAGCACAGTCAGCTCTGAGGGACATGCAGATTAGGAGGCTGTGGGTGGCAGTAGAAAGGGGCTTGGATGAAGAGAAGAGTATGTTGAACTTTGCTAGTGATTGTAAAATAGAATTCACAAGGACCTGCTACCCAAGACCTGGAACCGACTACTGGGCAAGTTTTAGGATATTCTTACCTAAAAGGGGTTCTCCAAAGTGGAACCCCTTTGGAATTCTGCTTGGAATTCCAAGCAGAATTGAGGTTCTTATATTTTCCTGGCTTTTGGTGAAAAGACAATATGAAGCTATTATTTTCTTTTTGTTCTAAATGATAGAATGCCTGCCTGGGGTCTAGGTCCTGGTCATGTTTTAAACTGCCCTTAAGTTTTCATAAACTGTTGCTACACTCTTTCTATGATCCTCTGGGGAAAGGCCAGGACATATGCTTTTTGCTATTTTCAGAGTAGTAAGAAAGAATTTGACAACTTTCTTCTCTTTCCCCTCTCCTCACCCTTTCCCATTGCTCCTTTCTTTCTCTGTCTGCTATTATTATGTGTTTCTCTGCAATATCTCCATCTTCTTCCCCAAGTGCTATTTTGGTGAAATCGATGAAAGAGTCTTGATTCACTCATCTTGATAGACTGTGGACTGTCTCCCAGCCAATCCTGGCTTCACGTGTCCTCTCCCCTTTCTCTACTGGGGTTGACATCTCCAGAATATGTATTTTCATGCCAAATGCATCTTTAGAAATACATATCATCTCATCATGAACAACAAGAAAAAAAAGATGGTTATCATTCCTTAAGGAACTTCAGAAATATGGTAGGGTTAGAAGGGTTGACATGTGCACTGGTCAGCACCTGAACTTTTTTTTTTTTTTTTTCTTTTTGAGATAGAGTCTCGCCCTGTTGCCAGGCTGGAGTGCAGTGGCGCGATCTTGGTTCACTGCAACCTCCGACTCCCTGGTTCAAGCGATTCTCCTGCTTCAGCCTCCTGAGTAGCTAGGATTATAGGTATGTGCCACCACGCCTAGCTAATTTTTGTATTTTTAGTAGAGATGGGATTTCGCCATTTGGCCAGGATGGTCTCCATCTCCTGACCTCGTGATCTGCCCGCCTTGGCCTCCCAAAGTGCTGAGATTACAGGCATGAGCCACCGTACCTGGCCTTAGCACCTGAACTTCTTATTCCCAGCAAATATATCTATGGATTGGTGTGGAACTGTGGCAATGTTAGTCTAAAAATAGAGGGGTCTAGGCATACAGACTGTCTTATATGTCTACCCACACACAGACAATAGGCCAGTTCCTCCCTTCCCCTTGCTTCTGGTAATCTAGTTAAATTATGCAAGGAACAAAAGGAGGAAAAAAACCCAACAAATACCTCTTGATATTTCACCATCTTGCAATGTAGTCACCTGACTTTAAAATTCTTAATACTGATAATGACAGCGTATTTGTATTTTGTGAAGTGCTGCTATGTATTAGGCATTGGGAGAGGGCTCTGATAATGAACTGAGTTTCTCCAGCAAGAGGGCTAGTGTTAAAATTCTAATTCCTCCATTCATTAGCGCCTTGTCAAACATTGAATTAATTAACCTCTGGGGCAAGTCAGTTGCCATCTCTGTACCTCATTCTCACTTTCAATGAAGTGGGGATAATAACTGAGCTGGAATTCATTATGGTTACTAATAAAGGAATTGGTGCATATTAAGAATTTAGAAAAGAGCATAACAAATAGGAATAACTTGTACATTATGTAATTCAATTGTTGGAAGAACTTGATCATTTAGGTATTGTTATTTCCAGTTTGCAATGAGCCTAGTGAGGTTCAACTCTCCCTTGCCTCCTAGAAGCAGCCACCACAGAAGATGCAGAAGACAGTCAGGTGCCTACTGTGAAGGCTAGAGTGCTAGGATGGGGATCAAGTGACCTGGGTTTTGGTCTTGACCTCTGAACTGAAGAGACCAGTACAAATACCCAGGCTGGAGGTCCAAAACTGAGCCTTTGCCTAAGTATGTTGCAAACCCCCCTTCGCTGGAGGCCTGATTTTTTTTCCTTTCACCAGTGCCTGATGCAGCTTGTAGCCTGGTGAACTTCTCTCTCTCTCTCTTCACTACAGGTTCCAAACTATTAGCTAAGCTTAAAACTTAGCAAACACAATGGGCAACTGGGGGGAGGGAGAGAGGAGGATAAAAAAGCATTTTGCAAAATGGCATTGTAGCCCTGAAATCCATACGGTACCACGTATTTCCTTTGAAAGCTTTGTTTCGGTTCAACAGCAGTGACAAACAGAAAGCTAGTTTAGCACCTACGGGCCACTTGGTTTCCTAGCATACAAGCCTGCTGAAAATACCTCCCATCTATTGTTGGCATTTCTTCTCTGCCACCAAAGCACAGAGTCTCTTCTCAGCAAGGCAACTTGCATAATATTTTATTTGCAGAGGGAAGCTGGGCACCCTGCAGAGCCTCCTTAACCATTGTGAATATAAATGGTACGTTGTGAATATGACTTCTCAATTACCCCAAATCAGCCTACAAAGACATGGCATGTGTGTGGGAGGAAAGAAGATTGAGTGGGCGGAGCCTTGTAGGTACCAATTCTTTCTGACATAAAAAAAAAAATAGCAGTCCTGGGGTGCAGGGGGAAAATTCTTGAAACTTTTCCATTCTTTTTCAGGGAGAGAGAAATGGATGAGAGAATTTCAGAGCTGCCTGGAACCAGTCCTCTACCAGGGATGTGGGTGGAAGGGTGGGGAGAGAGGAAGAGGTTAAAATAGCCCATAGGTTAAGTTTAAAATGCAACCCAAATATTTTTCTCTCTTTTTCTTTACCAGGAAAAGCTCAGGTCCTATAATATATGCAATCTGTTTGCTTGATATACCATTTGTTCTAAATGAGAGTAAGCGAAAAGCTTTCAGTCTGTAATCAGAAACACCACCATCAGCTTGAATTACTTAGGCACACGGAAAGAATAAATTCTGGCATTATTATCATTATGGTTCTTCCCCAAAACTGTTGCTTGGGCTGAAATTTGCTGAGTACCATGCCTATCCCCATACAATATAAAACATAATTGAAAGAGTTGTAAATCTCCCTCCGGAATCACTCTCTCAGGCAGAAAGGGGATGACTCTGAGGCTCCCTCAGCTGTTCCTGTTGGAGGCGGTGCCTTTCTTAGGGTGGGGAGGGAGGAGGGAAAAGACAAAAAGCACAGGATGGAACCTAGGGCCAAGCAGTGCTCTCCCACTGAACTTCATCATTGAGCCATCTGCATTCCCTAGGGGAAGAGAATCATTAGGTTTTATAGCTGGAAGAAAACATACCAAACTCCTCATGCAAGAAATGAATCCCCCACATCCAATAAGATCAAGGACACTTGTGGGAAAAACATAGCAAGCTGTCTAGAAGTGGGACTGTCCCGGAACATCAAGAAATTCAAACCTGTCATTTTACAGCTTTGCAAACTATTATATTTGAATGGTTCTAATAAGCAGAGGATGACAGAGCTTTCACAATGGTGAAGCTTTGTTACAGCTTCAGACTACTGAGCACGCCACTGCCTATAGGAATAGTGTACAAAGGTGCCCATTAAAGAGAGTGAAAAGACCAGAGAATCAAAGATTAAAAGAGCCTGGGGATGAAGGATTGTCTACACACACGCAGGCACACACACACACACACACACACCCATTAAACAATTACATGGTATCTCAGCAATAGCCTCATATTGGAATCTAGACAGAAGGCAGCAGGTATGACCTTGCTGGTATTTGTCAAATTAGTGCATCAGTATTGAAGGATATTTTTCTGCTCCCATGATACCATCATTGTCAAGGCATTTCACTAGTCTGAAGCAGTGCTGTCAAGATGTCAGTATAAATAACATTATCAGTGGTCTTTATCCTTCCTCCCTCTGCCTAGTCCTCCCAGTGCCCACAGTGTCCTCCCAGTGCCACAGAAGCTGTGCCTCTGCTACGGTGGCTATCCATCATAGTTGTCCGGGACTGGGGGTTTTCCTGGGATGAGGAACTTCCCATTTTAAAAGTTGGGGTAGTCCCAGGAAAACTGGGAAGGGTTGGTCACCCTGTCTCTTGCCTTTTCTTCCCTACCCTCCACTTCTTGCCCTTGGCTAGTGCTAACCAGCACTAACACAGTGGCACTAGCACACCACACTTAGTTGTGTAGATAGCAATGAAGAACAGTCGATTAGGGCCACAAACAAGAAAATCAAGAAGAGAATGAAGTGGATTATAAATGCCGGGCTGTATAAGTCAACCATGAAATCCTTTAAGCTACTGAAGAAATCCACACTGGAAACTATGCTCTAGTCCATGGAGGTCTCCATGTTTGTCTCATGGATTTTCACTGAATCTCTTCAAAAGGACAAATTAACTGAAGGAATTATTTCTTAGAATTTAAGACTGTGGGGGTGTGATTTCCTTCTGTTTTTTTTTTTTTTCTTTATGAGACAGAGTCTCACTCTGTTGCCCAGGCTGGAGTTCAGTGGCGCAATCTCAGCTCACTGCAAGCTTCGCCTCCTGGGTTCACGCCATTCTCCTGCCTCAGCCTCCCGAGTAGCTGGGACTACAGGTGCCCACCACCATGACCGGCTAATTTTTTGTATTTTTAGTAGAGAAGGGGTTTCAGCGTGTTAGCCAGGATGGTCTGGATCTTCTGACCTCGTGATCCGCCCACCTCGGCCTCCCAAAGTGCTGGGATTACAGGCGTGAGCCAGGGCGCCCGACCTGATTTTCCTCTTAATTACATGGAGTTCGCAAACAGCAACACCCTTTTGAATCAGCAGCATCAATATCACCTGAGAACATGTTAAAAATGGAAATTCCCAGGCCCCACATCAATCAACTGAACCCGACACTGTGGGGATGGGGCCCAGCAATCTGTTTGTACAACCCCTTCAGGCAATTCACATACATGCAGTAAAAGTTTGAGAACCACTGAATTTGTGTACCCACATCCTCGCTTCCTTATTTGTGATTGACACTCAGTGGATTAGTAAGACAGTCCAATAAATCGGGTGTTGAGTCTAGCTTTTCTATTACCACTCTACGCCAGATCAGGAAATTAAAGGTATTGAATACCACCAGCAATGGTAACTATTTCACATGGTACCAGATTCACAATGCCTTAGTGTCGGTGCATGAAACTCGAACAACTGTATCCTCTCTACTACCCATTTACCTTTCCTACGTCTGCTGTAAGTTAATCTCATGAATCATGAACTGCTACAGAATTTACCTTCACTGAACTCACCCTCAGCAATTGTTGCTCCTGTGGATCTACACACACACACAAAAATCACCTGGGCCTTTTTATTTTATTTTCAAAGATGTTTTATTACTTGAAATGCTGGGCAACATAACAAATACATTTTATGAAGAAGGTAAGCGTCAAATCAATTATCATCCTATTTTGTAGCATGAAATTGTGATTACCCAAACCTGATTTTCTTAACTTTTAAACAACACATTTATTTCCTGAGAATGTCCTCCCAGGACTGCACTTCTGTGATCAGATCCTGGCCTTTGAATGGGAAAAGCTCATTCAGGGCATTTCATAATCTCACCTCCTTATCTGTTTTCTGCTGGCTTAATAAAAACAATAGTCATCTCGATATTACAGTATTATGGACTGAATGTTTGTGTCTCCTTCAAAAGTCCTAACCCCAATATGACAGTATTTAGAGGTGGGGCCTTTGGGAATTAATCAGGTTTATAGGAGGTCATGAATCCCCCTGATGGTATTGGTGCCTTATAGAAAGAGAAAGAGAGAACAGAGCTTACTCAGTCTCCATCACATGAGGATACCATGAGAAGGCAGCTGTCTGCAAGCCAGGAAGAGGGCCCTCAAGGGGGCTAGCACCTTGATCTTAGACATCCAGCCTTCAGAACTGTGAGAAATAAATATCTATTCTTTGAGTTACCCAGTCTGTGGTACTTCATTGCAGCAGCCTGAGCAGACTAATCTATACAGTAAAGACTCCAACTTCATAACTTCTCTACATACTGTATATGTTAGCAAATGCTGCTGACAATTATACAGCTGTAGAGTTCATAAAGCCCTTTAATGGATTATTGTGATGTATTTATCAGAGTCCCCATCTAAAGGTGAAAAGCTATGGTTCTGAGAGTTTCAATGACTTGCTCAAGGACACAGGTGGTAAGGGGTAGCTCTGGGGTGGAACCCATGTCTTCCAAAGAAGAGGTCACTGTTCTGTTCATTCAACACAGTTGCTTCAATTGCAGAGGGGTCTTCCTGGCCACTTCTAGACTCTTACATATAGAATCTGGTACAAGGTTATTTATATATTGTAGGTTGCTGTAATTAATTAGTAGTAGAAGGTGCATGGAGATATAATTTTGGTTCCAAAAGTTTCTCAGATGTGCACACACATCAGAGAAGATGTGCTTTTTTTTCAGTTTCCTTTATTCCTTGTTCTAGACCCTGCTGAACGCAAATAGCATGGTGCATCATGATCCCTGTGGTGTATGAAAAAGCAGAAGTATTTGCTGAAACTCTGTTGAACTTTTTAATGGCTGTATGAGTAGTAACTTACCACTGATCATTCTTCTCTTGTCTCGGGCTTGTAAGGGAGGGGGATGTGGCCCTAAACAGTAAGTATCTCTGTGATAAGAGCCATCCCCCAGTGTATGCCGGTGACCCTGAGATGGACAGTAGAGGTGTGTTTCCTCCTTCCTCACAGTCTCCCAGATCTAGTGCTTTGTAGTTGACCTAGACTGTGACTCCAGGGGCATTATTTCTTCCTGATGTCTCAGTAAGATCCCCTGTGCTCAAGGTCAGGCCATTCTGGCTCCAGATCTCCACAGGACTCACCAACATTGGCCAACCATGCAACTCATGCTGAATTTACAAGTGCTGTCGCTGCCTATACCCCGATACTGGTGTTTTCATACGGAATATTGAGGTTGGCTGCTTTACAGTCAGCCCACACACAAGTCTTTCTCCTTCCATCTGCTCTCTCCTTTCACACTTCCATATTATATTAGAATTCATGTTGGGTCTCTCTTCCTAGAATATAAGCTTCTTTAAAAGCACAGACAATATTTATCTGTAGATCCCTCACCTTTACTTCCACTAACATATAAATTATTGGCATAGTAACTTACACATGGTAATCATAGTTTTATGATACACACACACACATTTTGTAATACATACATGGTACTTTACATATACTAATATATATGCCCACATCCATTCATATATATTTACATATATGTGTGTTTTTGTGTATATATGTATTTATTTCCAAGGTTAATTTTTTTAAAAAATGAACTGATCGAAATGAGCTATTCTGGCATAGAGCCAAGTTTTTGGTTCTGGTCAGAATGTGTACTTCTTGCCAGAAATGATACGGTTAGATGTCCTACATAGTATTTATATATGGGAGAGTATGGTTAATTGCAGTCTAAAGAAAAGAACTGAAAAGACAAACTTTTGTAAGTTACATGTTCATAACTGACTTACTTAAAACAAAGAAGACCACTGCTCCTCCTTTACTTACAGCACAGAGCCTCTACCCTGTTTCATTGAGCTATTCTTCTTCTAACAGCAGAAGAGCAATACAGTGATGGGAAGTCATTGGTAAAGGAGTTTAGCTTCTCTGTTTCCTCTTTTCAATTCAGCATATATTTCATTACAACACATGGCTAAAATGCCTGTCTTAACTTGAGGTTTATATATGGGATGTCCTAGTCTAAGGAAGACTATGGAGTTAGCATTATTATTGTTTTTGTTGTTTGGTTAACAGGACCTGTGTGTAGTCTAAAGAATATCCAGATTGGCAAACCACAGTGCAACCTCCCTTTTGTCTTCTGAATAGTAGCGTTGGGTGACTTGTTAAGCCTTTTTATGGAACCTTCCTTTTAAGAAATTAGAACCTTCACAATTGCCTAACAGGCAAGTCCCTGCAGCTCAAGAGAAGTCCCTGAATAAACAAAGTGTGTTCTCTATTAAATGTCAACACAACCAAAAATGTTTACATTTTGGTAGTTCATTACTAATTTATTTAGGAAATACTGGTCAGTCAATAACACATCAAAAACTGTGTGTGAGTGTTTTGGGAAGAAAGGCATGGCCACTATGATGGCACTGTCTATGGACCACATGTCCAGGGCAATGACATTTTGAAGATGGTGTGAAATTATAAAACCACTTTATAGTGTTGCCTTACTTGCCCATAAAAATTAGTAGAGTTTGTATAATACATCAGCAATGAATTTTGTAATTGTCAAGCGATCCTTATATCATAACCTTGGAAGAAGAGTACACTTAAGATATGCTTCTTATATGAACAGACACTTTTCAAAAGAAGACATTTATGTGGCCAACGAACATATGAAAAAGAGCTCATCATCACTGGTCATTAGAGAAATGCAAATCAAAACCACAATGAGATACCATCTCATACCAGTTAGAATGGCGATCATTAAAAAGTCAGGAAACAACAGATGCTGGAAAGGATGTGGAGAAACAGGAATGCTTTTACACTGTTGGTGGGAGTGTAAATTAGTTCAACCATTGTGGAAGACAGTGTGGTGATTCTTCAAGGATCTAGCACCAGAAATACCATTTGACCCAGCAATTCCATTACTGGGTATATACCCAAATGATTATAAATCATTCTACTATAAAGACGCATGCACATGTATGTTTATTGCAGCACTATTCACAATAGCAAAGACTTGGAACCAACCTAAATGCCCATCAATGGTAGAATGGATAAAGAACATGTGGCACATACACCATGGAATACTCTGCAACCATAAAAAAGAATGAGTTCATGTCCTTTGCACGGACATGGATGAAGCTGGAAACCATCATTCTCAGCAAACTAACATAGGAACAGAAAACGAAACACCACATAAATGTTCATAAGTGGCAGTTGAACAATGGGAACATATGGGCACCGAGGGGAATATCACACACTGGGGCCTGTCAGGGAGTGGGGGATAAGGGGAGGGATAGCAATAGGAGAAATACCTAATGTAGATGACAGGTTGATGGGTGTAGCAAACCACGATGGCACATGTATACCTATGTAACAAACCTGCACGTTCTGCACATGTATCCCAGAACTTAATAATAATAATAATAATAATGATGATGATGATGATGAAGATGTCCTTCTTAAGCCATTAGTTAAGAATTTTTACAGGAAGCGCAATGGTACCTTAGTGGGGTTGGTGCCGCCTAGCTCTAAAAACCTTCTGCAGAATATTGGCACCATTTTACAGGCTTTCTCTGGAGAATTTCTGGTGTATTTGGAATTAACATCTATTGTCCTCATGTATTAGAGCCCATGTTAGTTAATGATGTTGAACACACTGGTTTTTGGCAAGGGTACAAAGATGAGGTATCATCCCTAATCAAGAAGAGAGCTCAGTGAGCATTTGGGGGACAGGCAGGCTACTTGGTGATGGCCTAGTTCATAGACCTGCTCTCAAAGTCTCAACCTTGCACACACGGTTCTTGAGATGTGTTTGCTGCTGCTACTTAAAAAACCCTTCAAATCCTCAACTGCTACCTTTTCTCATTGCCTCTGGACTTTTACCTGCATAAAACCCATCATAAGTGTCAAATTTAGATATCACTTAGCATAGCATCATTGGTACAATATTCAGTTCATGAAATATGCTTGAGACATTCAAGCCATGGTGAAAACTACCAATATGTATAGGAAAGAAAAACTATAAATTGCTACATACACATAGTGTACATATACTATATTTATAATACACACATTAGCTGTAAGTATCATTCGCTGATATGGAGCATGTTGACCAGCTCTTTTATGGTTATATCCCAAGTGCTGTATATTTCATTAGGAAAAAAAGTATGTGTAGGGTATTAAAAAAGAATGGCCAGTAACCTGTGATAGTAGGGTTTAAAACCAGCCATTATTTTCATTGGCTTACCCTTGTTTCTTGCCACATCCTATTAAGTCATGTTTGTAAAGGTCTTTGCAGCTCCTAAAGCTCTTTCAGATTTATTTTTATCATTTCATGAGAAATTGTATATTTAGGGTCCAACACCACAGGTTTTGGAATAAGGCAGCCAGGTTCAAATCTTGGATGTGAATCTTAATTGTCTGGTCTTGATTAAGCTATTTAAATTCGCCAAGCTTTAGTTTTCTCCCTTATGAAACTGACATCATAATATCCACATCTTAACATTGAAGAAGAACACTGAACATCTTAACAATAGAAAAAATGCAAATTAAACACTCAATGAATAGTTGATGTTTTGATAGCTGCACTTTGTGTGTGTGTGTGTGTGGTGTGTGTGTGTGTGTGTGTATGTATGTGTTGGCTCTTTTTTTTAAGAAAAATAAAAGCAGTCGAGTACAGTGGCATGATCATAACTCACTGCATACTGAAACTCTTGGGCAAAAGGGATCCTCCCACCTCAGCCTACCAAGTAGCTGGGACTATAGGCACACACCACCATGTCCTGCAATTTTTAAATTTTTTTTTGTAGAGATGGGGGTCTCACTATGTTACCCAGGCTTGCATTGAACTCCTGGCCTCAAGCAATCCTCCCACCTAGGCCTTCCAAAGTGCGGGGATTACAGGTGTGAGCCACTGCACCCCAACCTATAGCTAGACTTTATCTCCAAACTTAGCCACATTCTTATGAAGTATACAGCAAATGTGCCACTATTATCATTATTGCTATGTTGACAGATGAGAAATTAAACCTGAAAGTGTAAATAACTAGGGCACTGGACAGTTATATATTTACCTCTAAATTAACAAATTGGTTTTATGATTTGTACATTTCAGCCTTTTGAGAGTGTAATCAGCAAGCGTCAGCCTCCGCAAGCCTGATGTGCACTGGGACCCTGACCAGAAAGAATTTCTGTGCCTCTAACAATAAAGGTCAGATGCAGACTGCTGGAGACATTGTCAATATAAATGTCACCTCGTGAGGTCCCTTAAAGGCCTTCCCAGCCTTCTGCCAAACTCATTGTGTGCCTTGCACTCCAACTTCTGCAATTTACATTATTTTAACTTTCATGTTGCAGGGAGATTGCATATCTGTTTCTCTGCTCTACCGTAAACTTACCGAGAACAGGCTATATCTGTAATCTTTACCTCTCAAATGCCTGGAACGGTATCTGGCATGGATGAAACACTCAATACATGTCTGCTGAATGACTGAAATGACCTCACTAAGATGACTGTGAATAAGTGGTAAATTCCCGACTTTAAACCCAGATCTTGTGACTACAAATCCCTTGTTTCATTTCTGTAGACTTTGGTTGAAGCCAGGCGATTGAGTCTCATTTCTTTACCTAAGGGTGGGAGAATCATTACTAGTACTGGGAGACATTAATCCTGATGAAGTGCTGAAAAGTACAGTCCAAGGCTTTGGTGACAGAAAACAACAACAACAGCAGCAACAACAAAATAACCCAAATTCATACTGTTAGTTCATTCAGCAAGATCGTCTTCATCACCAATGAGTGCTATTTCTGCCTGGGAGAATTTTTTTTTTTTTTTAAGATGGAGTCTTATTCTGTCCCCAGGCTGGAGTGCAGTAGCGCGATCTCAGCTCACTGCAACCTCAGCCTCCAGGGTTCAAGCAATTCTCTTCCCTCAGCCTCCCTAGTAGCTGGGAATAAAGGCACGCACCACCACACACAGCTAATTTTTGTATTTTTAGTAAAGACAGCCATGTTGGCCAGGATGGTCTCCATCTCTTGACCTCGTGATCCTCTGGCCTCGGCCTCCCACAGTGCCGGGACTACAGGCATGAACCACCGCGCCTGACGAGAATGTTGATTTTTTTCTAATGAGCATGCAAGTATATTAGTCTCACTTTAAGTGTAAATTTTAGATCCTTCTTGTAGAATAACATTTGACCTAATTTTTATCTAAGGAATAAATTCCCATTGCACTGTGGCCCGCAGGCAGAAAACACCTCATAGGAAAAATAAAGACAAACAACCCTGTGAAGAAAATGAGCATTTGATTTACTACATACACAGAGGTCCTTATTAAGAAGAGGAAATTGTTTTTTCCAGGTTCTGTGTTCAGGAGTCATACTTTTTTTAGTTGGTTGTTTGAATCTATCTGAAACACAATATTCCTCAAACAGAATAACCCCCCGTTTCAAAAGAGAATGGAAATGACCGAAGCCTCAATTTTCAAGGGCTGAGGATTCTGAGATTTTCCTTGCCGCTGCAGGGTCCTTTTCTGCAGGCAAATTGTTCAAGAAAACACGGTCTCTGTCTCTGGTCATTAGTGAAGATGACAATCCTCTGGGTACTTCTGGCTTAATTCTCAAATAAAAACCAGCATTTTGTTTAGACTGGCCAAGGGCATATCACCGTTCTTTCACCACAGCTGCTGAGAGCTGGTTGGAGTGAACAGCCGATCAGGGAACGCAGGATCTTGAAAGCCTTAGGGCTGGTGATGGTTATAGTAAAAACCCAGCAGGAAGTGGGATTCGCTGTAATCACAGGACTCCTGTATATTTGGTTGATCATAGATTTGCATTTGGTCCTGCAATTATTTTTCAGATAATTTAAGAAAGGATGAATTTGGGCCAGGCACAGTGGCTCACGCCTGTAATCCCAGCACTTTGGAAGGCTGAGGTGGACGGATCACTAGGTCAGGAGATCGAGAAGACCATCCTGGCTAACATGGTGAAACACCGCATCTACTAAAAATACAAAAAATTACCCTGGCGTGGTGGCGGGTGCCTGTAGTCCCAGCTACTTGGGAGGCTGAGGCAGGAGAATCACTTGAGCCTGGGAGGCGGAGCTTGCAGTAAGCCGAGATCGCGCCACTGCACTCCAGCTTGGGCGACAGAGCGAAACTCCTGTCTCAGAAAAAAAAAAAAAGAAAGAAAGAAAGAAAGAAAAAGAAAAGAAAAAAAGAAAGGGTGAATTTTAGATTTAAGCTTAAGTAGACAGTGACTTAATGAGTTGAATGGACCAAACAATTCTACTCCCCTAGGGTCCCAAGAAGATAGGGCTGTAGTTGAATTTAGATTCACTGAGCTTTTCCACTGCTTGCCTCTCTTAAAACCATCATTATTAAAGATATATGTTACCTTTAGTCACAATCTTCTTCCAATTTAGCAGCTTTTGTTTGTGACTATTAACTTTAAAGTTTACATGCCCTGGGCTGTAAGGCTCTGGAATTAAAAGAACCAGGATTCACTCTAAGCCATTTTGCCAGGAAGTAACCAAAGTAATAAATCTTTAATTAATGTTTTTATTCTCAGGTAATACTGTTCTTATGACATTTTCAGATTCTGAGCCAATATTTTTATTTTAATTTTTTTAAACTTTCCATTTTATTTTAGATTCGGGGGTACATGGTCAGGCTTGTTACAAGGGTACATTGTTTTATGCTGAGGTTTGGGCTTCTATTAATCCCATTGCCCAGATAGTGAACATAATACCCAATAGGAAGATTTTCAGCCACTACCTCCCTTCCTCCCTCCCTTCTTCTGGAGTTCCCAGTGTCTGTTTTTCCCATCTTTATGACCCTGTGAACCCAAAATTTAGCTCCCACTTATAAATGAGAACATGCGATATTTTATTTTCTGTTTCTGTGTTAATTCGCTTAGGATAATGGCCTCCAACCGCATCAGTATTGCTGCAAAAGACATAATTTTAGGGTTTGTTTTTTGTCTCATAGAGACAGGGTCTCGTCCTGTCTCCCAGGCTAGGGTGCATTGGTATAATCATAACTCACTGCAGCCTCAAACCTCTGGACTGAAGAGATCCTCTGGCCTCAGCCTCCTGAAAAGCTGGAACTACAGACATGCACCACCACATCCAGCTAGTCTCAAACTCCTGGAGTCAAGCCATCCTCCTGCCTAGGCCTCCCAGCATGCTAGGATTACAGGCATGGGCTATGGCACCCGGCCAATTGGTTTTTTATGGCTGTGTAGTATTTCATGGTGTATGTATACCACATTTTCTTTATCCAGTCCACCATTGATAGGCACCTAGGTTGATTACATGTCTTTACTATTGTGAGTAATGTTATGATAAATATGAGTACATGTGTCCTTTTGGTAGAATGATTAATTTCCTTTGAGAGTACACCCACTAACGGGATTGCTGGGTCAAATTGTAGTTCTATGTATTTTTAGTTGTTTGAGAAATCTGCAAACTGCTTTCCACAGGGGCTGTACTAATTTGCGTTCCCACCAACAACGTATATTCCCTTTTCTCTACAACCTTGCCAACAGCTGACATTTTTTGACTTTTTAATAATAGCCATTCTGACTGGTGTGAGATACTATCCCATTGTAGTTTTGGCTTGCATCTCTCTGATGCAAGTCAAAATGTTGAGCATTGTTTCATATGTTTCTTGGTCTCTTCTATGTCTTTTGAGAAGTGTTTGTTCCCATCCTTTGCCCACTTTTTAATGGGCTTGTTTGTTTTTCTCTTGTTGATTAGTGTAAGTTCCTTATAGATTCTGGATATTAGACCCTTGTTGGATGCATAGTTTGCAAATAATTTCTCCCATTCTGTAGGTTGCCTGTTTACTCTGTTGAGTTTCTTTGGCTGTGTAGAAGCTGAGGCTGAGCAAAGTTTTTAAGAATTAGGTATTCAGGAAGTCCCTGGACAAAAATTCATCCATCTAACGGTGATATTTCCTTAGGTACACAACAAAGCATTCTATCCTGATTTGATAGAAATAAGGGAAAATGCTAACAAGGTACAAACATCCTCTGAGACAAGTTGTTCAACCAAAAATACATCCTATTAGCCTGGCCTACTACCCTACATCTGAGGGAATGAAATCAAAAGAAACATACACATTTCCATGACAAAGCTTTAAGCAGATTTTGGAGAAACCTTGTGCTTGGCAGCTCTTTGGAGAAATGGGTACTTTGGGCATTTATTGTTCCATTTTAAATGAATCAATCAAAGTAGTACATTGCTACTTTCCCTCAAAAGGATTTCCATCATCTCAGAATAAAAAGTTAAATTTCCTAAGACATTGAAGGTTTTTCATGGCATAACTCTAGGTTACGTTTTGCTTCCCACTATAGCCTTATATACACCCATAACCCAGTCACCTGGGGTTGTCAATACATGTAGTTCCACCTATACGTATTGACAACGCCTATATGTCTTTGTTTCTGCTTTTGTCCCAGTCAGGAATATTCAGGCCCTAAACATCTACCTATTGACATCATATTAATTTTGTAAAGTCTTTTGTAAGTACCTTCTCATCCATGAAGCCCTCTGATACAGTTTGGCTGTGTCCCCACCCAAATCTCATCTTGAATCGTATACAGCTCCCATAATCCCCACATGTCCTGAGAGGGACCAGGTAGAGATAACTGAATCAGGGGGGCAGTTTCCCCCATCCTGTTCTCATGATAGTGAGTTAGTTCTCACAAGATCTGATGGGTTTATAAGGGGCTTCCCCCTTCACCGGGTACTCATTCTTCCTCCTGCCAACCTGTGAAGAGGAGCCTTGCACCATGATTGTAAGTTTCCTGAGGCTTCCCCAGCAATGGGGAACCATGAGTCAATCAAACCTCTTTCCTTTATAAATTACCCAGTCTTGGGTATGTCTTTATTAGCAGTGTGAGAACGGACTAATACACCCTCTCTGTTCCCTTCATTCAGAATAAATTGTCCTTCATTTTCACTCTCTCAGCACATTATTTGAATCTCTACTTAGCATTTAAAAAATTGTCTTGACTCATGACGTGACATGCCAACCAGAGTTAACAAATAAATCCTATCTCCTGTGCCAAATCTGATCAGCTTCTTTTGCCTGTCTAGGTGTTTCGTTGGAGATTCTGAGGCTGAGTCCATGAATAGGAAAGAAAAAAAGTCTGCAAGGGACACTGGAGCAGGGCAGTGGCAGCACATGTGACGTAGGTTTACCATTTCTTCAAGAGACTAACTTTTTGAGCCCAGGATTGTTTTTTATCCAATTTTATACATTTTACAATGTTTGTTTCTTGACAGTTGGTACTTAATATGTGCCTTTTGAATAAATTGAATTGAAATAGGCAGTGCTGGAGACTTAGGTTAGAAGTAAGGCTGGATTATCGATGCTTCAAGTTGCAATAAGATAGCAAAGGTTCTCATAGGAGCGAAGGCACCTAGAGATTTTAGGACTTAGGTTACAATTTCTTCACATAGGATGCATTATACCCAGTGCTGATAAAGGAAGGTGATGAATTTGGGTACTCACCAGATCCGAGAGTCAATGACTTCCAGAGATTGCCATGATTTCAGCATGCTTGGATAAGGAGTTTGTATCCTAAAAGCAAGTTCTATAAGCTTTGCTGTCATAAACTATCAGAGTGAGGAATGATTTTTTGGTAACATCAGTGCCCTCTTTGAATACTTTCTGAGCAACGTTTACTTTTTTCATTTCCTACCAGCAATGATTGTATGCTTTTGTGATCCATTGAGAAGCATATATCACAGAAAGCTTTCCAGGATATTGGAAGGCTTTAGGCCACAGACCTAGGGGGATTTTCAGGGTTTTTGTATGCTGCCTAGAAATATATCAGTAAATATAAATATAAATATAAAGAGATTGCAGAAATCATCTGGTCTGACTCTGTTGTTTGACAGGTGAAAGAAACGGAGTCCCAGGAAAGTGAGCTGTCTTGCTCAATTCTGCCACTTTGGGTAACGGCAGATTCAGAATCTGGTTCCTGACTTCTGCTGTACCATCCCGTTCTGCCTTCCTCCATATTTCTATGTCTGGTACTATTATTTCTTAAGTTGGATTCTTCTGATTGAGATTATGACTTTCTTTGGTAAGATTTTTGTTGTTTTCTGTTGTTAGATGTGTTTGTTTTTATAGGATAGGGAGGAAGAAAAAGAGAAAGGCATGGGTCACCCCAGCTCTGGGACGTTGCTTGGCCCTCGTCAATTTACTGGTACTTTAAATTGGCTTCACAATTATTTCTCTTAGGGCCTCAATACCTCTTACCACATATTAGAACATAATAAAAATGTTTTTTGGCCTAGCGTGGTGGCTCACGCCTGTAATCCTAGCACTTTGGGAGGCCAAGGAGGGGGAATCCCCTGAGGTCAGGAGTTTGAGACCAGCCTGGCCAACATGGCAAAACCCTGTCTCTACTAAAAATACAAAAGTTAGCTGGGTGTGGTGGCGCGTACCTGTAATCTCAGCTACTCAGGAGGTTGAGGTAGGAGAATCGCTTGAACCCAGGAGGTGGAGGTTGCAATGAGCTGAAATCACACCACTGCACTCCAGTCTGGGTAACAGAGTAAGACTCTGTCTTAAATAATAATAATAAATAAAATAAAATAATAAAATAAAAATGTTGTTTTTCAGTGGTAGTACCAAAGATCATGGAATACATGACAAAAGAAAACATTCGGCAGAGCAATGCCTGATTGTGTAAGATTTTTATTTTTTAAAGGAAAATTCAGAGTTTAAAATTCCAACTGCTTTAGAATATGTAGAATCTATTAGATTATTAAGGATTTGGGAAATCAAAGTAGAAGCATGTGACGTCTGTGTAATTACATATATGCCGGACTCTATTCCAACCCAGCTTTCCTATTGCTGTGCATGATGAGTTACTGGGTGCTTGCGTAATTAAGGATAAAATGGAACCTTTTATTGCATTAGACTGTTATTACTCATGTCTGTTTCCCTCAGGAAATCTGTAGGCTGTTGGCTGATTGAAAGGCAAAATCTGAGTATTGTTGGATTCCTTTGTGGTAACATTTTCTAACGCCATCAAAACCCACTGCTATTCTCAACAGCACTGCATTTCCTTGCATTCCCTTATTAATGTCCCAGATTGTTATTTAAATGTTCGCCTGTGTATTGTTTCCCAAGCCTCCCTTGAACTAGGCTATTTAAAGTTCAAAGCCTCACTTTATACTTGTTGCATCCATTGCTCAGCACCCACTTCCCTGGTACAATTCTTGTTGATCAGTCTGGCCAAGGACATGTCCGATTTTCTAAATCTATTGCCTTTGTATGAGTTTGCAATAATTATGTCCAGTTTGTGGAATCAGGGTGAGGCAGAATTTTTCAGATGTGTGAACACACGAACTCTCTTAAAATTGGGAAGATTTAGATATACTACATAGGTGTATGAAAACACTGGAATATAGTTATGGGTTTAATTATGTCCCCCACCCCAAGAAGACATATTGAAGTCCTGAATTCCCGTACCTTGGAATGTGATCTTATTTGGAAACAGGGTCTTGGGAGACTTAAGGGAGTTAAGTTGAGGTCATGAAGGTGGGACCTGATCCAATACAATTGGTGTTCTTATAAGGAGAGAAGAAGAGGCACAGAGGCACGTGCAGGAAGAGGGCGTGAAGACACACAGGGAAAAGACAGCCATGTAACTGGGATGATGCATTTACAAGCCAAGAAATGCCAAGGACTGCCAAACATCAGAAGCTGGAAGAGGCAAGGGAGGCTCCTCCCCTAGAGCCATTAGATAGAGCATGGCCCTGCTGACACCTTGGTTTCAGACTCAGACAATACATTTCTATGATTTTAAGCCACTCAGATTTTGGTACTTTGCTACAGCAGTACTGGGAAACAAATACCAAGACTGAATGAGGCCAAAGGCTACTGGAGACCCAACTGGGAAAGAGTGATTTTCTGCTAAAGTGAGAACAAATGATGAAGAAGTAAAGTTTCCCTTCCCCAGGCAATGCCATACAGAAGGGATGGCAAAAAATTTCATCTTGTGTGCAAAGTTGATTAACTAGCAGTGGCTCCCTGGAGCAAGAGTGAAGGAGGACTTTGCATCTGCACGCGGGCCTGATGGGCAAGAGTGCAGGCATCGATCAGCAGTATCTGTGGTGAATGTAGATGAGGTAGGAGTTAGACTGTAGGCTAGGGCAGCAGTAACCATTGTTATTCTGGTGGCTTCTTGGAAGTTGTGACGGAAGAAGGAGATCCAATATCTGGCATAGGCTTTGGGATAAGAATAGGGAGTAGAGATAAAGAGGTAAAATTTGCCCAGGGCAAGAGGGAAAAAAGAATTCATGACGATTCCAAGTTTCAGTCCATGCAGTCAAATACCATGACATGGCAGGAGAAAGGACATAGAAGACAAGAAATCCTATAAGATCTCAAAGCCAGAGCAGGAAAAAGAAGCAGGCATTAATTTTTGTAGCATGGAGTCACCCAGGAAATCTCAGTGACAAAGCAGTGTATGACTCACCTAATTTTGAATAAATATGGCTTTATTTATTTTCTGAAAATTAAAACCTCCTACTGTAAGGTTTAATTAATAATTAATTAATGGTTTAGTTAATATAATTATTGGGGGTATGAATTGTGTATTTTTGTTTTATATTTCAAAGATTCCTAGGAATTCTGGGGGAAAAAGAAGAAAGACATTTCCCTCATTATTATTTCATTATCTGGGGGACGGGAAAACTTCTAAATGCTGCACAGATGATGGTTTATGACATCATAGTTCATGGGACCTGAACTATGCCAGGCCTCATCGGTTCTGCAAAGCAATGAAATCATAACATCAGCAAAATCTCAACATTCCCTAGCTCTTGCACTTCCCGCCCATATGGACTCTGTGCCAGCCCCAGGCTGTCTGACCTACATGCTCAGCCTGTCCACTACCATTACTGTGTGCTATCTAGACTATTTTTTCTCTTCCAATCAGACCCATCATTCATGTCTCCAAAGAGTTCGGCCTGAAGCTGCTTTCCACAGGGGGTTGCAGACAACTCAGCATCCTCACATTCCCCGACATAGGGTACCTTCTCTTCCTGGCAAGTATATGTGTTCATACAAGGAAACGAAGGTCTGGCTGACCGAATCACCGACGTGGGACCTCACCACACTGAAGCCTAAGCGCTTTATTGTTAATTGTGAGGGCTCTGCACTTAAGTCTTCCAGAACTACTGGCATTGCGGCAAGGCCTTCCTAATTGGCTCATTCTTTCACACGCTCCTAGGGAGCTTCTGTCATTGCTCTTACGTTGGGAAAACTGCAGCATCTAACTCTTGCCACACTGGAGACTTCCTGCTGGGGAGAGGGGGCATCCATGTCACCTTTAGAGAATTTGCACTGTGAGATGAATCAGGTGCCATCTGCAAAGTCATTTGACTTCTGTTTAAAAAGAATAGTGCCTGTCTTTGAAATTCAAGAAAGAACAATCATTGATACTGGGAGGCAATAAGATTAAATGTGCTTTGAGAAGTGAAAAAAAAAAAAGTCTGATTTCCTTGGCATTTTAGTGGTTCTAATGAATGTCCTTTGACTGTCAGCCATTAATCCAAGAATTTACAACCCTTTCTTAAAAAAAGAAAAAAAGATTTGCTTCCTTTAAATTGAGGTAGATTTCTTTCTCAGGGGAGTTCATTTAGTGTTCTCTGACAGCAGAAAGCCATTTGAAAAAACATTCAGAACCAGAAACCTAGCTATTTTCCTCATTTTTGCTCAAGTTCCCAAGTCTTATTTTCAAAGTGATCAGTAACACTGAAATGTTTATCAGGATGTGGAAGAAAAACCTATTAAATGTCATTTAAAGTGAGATAATCTTCAGGCATGTTGCAAACCAATTGTCTTGAGAAACCTTTTATCAAATGCCCCTCCCCTCCTTTCTAGATGAAATGCTATTACATTTCCAAATAAAAGTCTCTACGAGTTACATTAGATTTTTAATAGAAATGAGATGGGCGCCTTGATTCAGTCTAATGGAGCCTAAAGAAGCTTGGGAAAAAATGATAGTAGGAGAAAAGAAAAATGAGCAAGCACCCTTATGTGTGTTTGTGTTTATAGAAAATCTTGTAGTTTAACATATGTATATGCACATATATGTATATTGGTAAGAGTATGTCAGAGAAAATGGACAAATCTTGATCTTCCATTAGCGAGTGATCATTTCTGATGGTTAAGATAAAAATGTTAGCATACAGGTTTGATTTCTTGTGTGGGTTGGTTAGTTACTCTGTTTATAACCAATACGTGCTATTGATCTAGCCTAGTTATGGATGGATTAATGAAAATCTCGGTGCATGGCATCAAGGATAATATTTGGTTATCATGAATCATTTATTTTCCTTTTCTTCTTTATGATGTTCAATTCTAGCACTGCCCAATGATCAGCTGCAGTCTCAGGAAAGGCTGTTCTTCTAACCACATCAAGATGGTGAGATATATCAAAGTTCAAATAAAAGATAATATACCGGAAATAGTGAATATTTTCAAAACCTCAGTTAACTGGTATCAGTGAGATAGAAATCGTTTCAAAGGGGCAAATTTTGAGGAGTTTTGTTCCTTTAAGCCTTAGCTTTAATTTTTTAAAATTAATTTTGGATGGAAACATCTCAAGATATATTAGCTGTTTTCCTGCCTTTGGAAACACAGCATCTTGAATGTAAAGTAGCACTTTTTAAATAGTTTATTACCATGAATCTTAATTAGGATACTGTGCCACTGAAACATCTTGGGATGTATTCAGTAATTTTTTTCTTATACTAGATGGCTGCAAGCTGCTGTTCTCATTGAGGTAGTATAATTGTTTTCATAGTTTTTCTGTTTTCTTTGGGCTAACAGTTTCTAGCCACTACAAATATTAATACTAATACTAAAATCAATACTAATAACCAAATGTGTTGGATTTATATGTCAATTAACATTCATAGATTCTCAGTAAGTATTGAGAAGCACTGTGCTTAAGATAAATGAGCTTTGTGTCATATAAGTTGACTACTCAAAGACCTTTAGAGTTTGTTTCTTGGTTTTTGACTCATCTCTTTTGTCATAGATGAGATTGCTGAATCTTTAGTTTACAAATAGTGAGTGGCTATTATTTATCCGTATCTATCTACCTACCTACCTATCTATATCTGTATATTTATACATATACATATATAATGCTGGTGTTAAAAATGACATCTGTGAATGTGATTATACCAGGTGTGGTCGAATTACCTACAACTATGAAGACCATGCAGCAACATAAAATGCTTATAAGAGAACATTATCTTTAACAAAAGAAAAAAAGCAAGTTGCTGCTGGGCGCAGTGGCTCACGCCTATAATCCCAGCCCTTTGGGAGGCCAACGCGGCCAGATCCCTTGAGCTCAGGAGTTTGAGACCAGCCTGGGCTACATGGCGAAACTCCATCTCTACAAAAAAAAAACAAAGAAAAAAATTAGCAGGGTGTGTGGCGTGTGTCCTAGCTGTGGTCCTAGCTACTCAGGAAGCTGAGGTTGGAAGATTCCTTGAGCATGGGAGGCAGAAGCTGCAGTGAGCTGAGACGGCCACTGCACTCCAGCCTGGGTGGCAGAGTGAGACCCTGTCTCAATAAAAATAAAAATAAAAATAAAAAGCAAGTTGCTAAGTGGTATATAAACTGTAGTTGCAATTACCACAAATCTCCTAAGGCCACAAAAAAAAAAAAGGACGAAAGAAGCATTAATTATTAAGGTGATGATGTTATACATTCCTATATTTCCAAAATTCCTGTAAGATTAATATTACTTCAAAAGTTAACAAGCAAATATATGACTAAAAAGCTCAATAAGAGCCAAGTGTTCCTACCACACCTTACACGTAAGAAATCTGGTTTGGTTTGTAAGTAACATCAGTGCATGCCTTGCAGCTCTGAATCTTAGACTCAAGGTCTACTCAGTTTTGTTAGGAAACATCTGCCCATAAAGTTTTACCTAACAGTAAGGTCCTTAAGATGCTGAAAGGAAATTGGGTTTATTAGAACACAGAGACCTTAAAACTGTCACTATTTTGAAGGAAATTTGCAGTATTGTCTCAAGAAAAGTATCTGACATGTGTTGGTACCAACTTAAAATTTTCCATTTACAGAATAGTTAAGATTATATTCTCTGTATCAGCCATCAACATTTATCAATCCATTCATTGATAACTATTGACAAACGCACATGCTTACTAAGCTCTCATTATGTGCCAAGCAGTCCACTGGGCACACCGACCAACAATTAAATATCAACATGTGGCTAAAGTCATCCTTCCAAGTGGAGAGCGAAAGTCTTCATGTTATGTGTTTGGAACTCAGTTTGTTTGTTTGTTTGTTTGTTTGTTTGTTTTTAAAGAAATGGCTTCAGTATCGTTATCAGTTCCCTCCTCTCCACAGTTTTGCTAACTGCAAACAAATTACATTTAAACTATTCACCTTGCTGGCTTGGTTTAGGAATTGGCAGGGAAGAGATGCATACTTTCAGCAGGTGCATGAAATCTGCACACAATGAAATTGCTTACTTTGTCAGATGAAATGTTAAGGACAATAAGGGAGCTATTTTAAACAAAGAAGTCAAAGTTACTCTTGCCGAGCCTAAGAGAATACTGCCTTCTGGTGAGACAAATCACCTTTTAAAAGGAATAAGATAACGTACATTGCAGGGACGCATGTGCACAATTCCGTATCAGAGCCCACAAAAGGAACTTAATAAAGCACAGAATTCTGGCACTCAGATGTGCAGGAAGCAAACTAAAGAGATGCATTAACCTCAGTCTATCTTCCTTTCGGAGGTATTTTTTTGGTAAACCTTACACAAATGCCTTATATATGATAATAATCTCAGCACATTAGACTGTCTCGGTGCTGAACAGAAACAGTAATCCCTGAGGGGAAATACCTGCCGTGCTATGGATGATAATGCTGCCATCTGATGCTGCAAAGCAGCAGAAAGACTGCCCAGCACGGAGGGCGGGGGGGGGGGGGGTGGGTGGTGTTCACAATGACATCTTGGCACTCTTCTCCTTTCTCTCTGCAAAAGAATGAGCAAGCACCTGGCAGTGGAGACTGAAATGCAAAGGAGAGAGTGGGGAAGGATTTACAAAAGATCTGCTGGCCTATGTGATGGGTAACACTTATGCATCAAGAGATCTGGTGAAGAAGAAAAGAGACCGAAATAACTGAGGGCACTTCTCCACTTTCCCTCTTATAAATCATGCATTGATGTATAAGCAGCCCAAACACATAATCACGCTGTAAATTTTTTAAAAACCCACAATTTTGAAAAACGTCGATCCAACGCTCAGATGCAGATATGCATAAATATGCACACAAACACACACATATTACATGTATACCATTATGGCTTTATTAATTTTTTTTCTTCAAAATCTTATACCAGGGGAGAAGGGAAACATAATAGGTGGCCTTTCTGTAACCAGTTAATTTGTCTGTTGCTGCTCAAGCATTTATGTTTATACTTGCTGCTCAAGTATTTATGTTTTTATTTGTTCCCACCACTAGAGGGCTAAGCAGAGGGGACAGGTTTTTCTTCTAGGCCCACGGATTGCTTTTAACAGTAGCCCAATTTCCTCCCCAAGCCACTTTCCCATCATTTCTTTAGTGGTACCTTCTGCTGCTGGCTTGCTTGCTTTTCTTTTTTTTTCTTTCACCTTTAATTCTTTCCTTCCTACCTCAAATACTTCTTGAAACATTGCAGGCTCCAGAAGGCGGATGTTCCATCTAGTATTTCTCTGTGCTTTATAATGCAGTGTTTGCAGATAGTAATAAATTCTAACAGTTATTGAACACTTGCCTACCAAAATATAAACTCCCTAGAGCAAGGAACTGGTTTGTGTGCTTTACCTCAGTGTCCTGTACGCATAGAACTTTGCCCAGTACATCATAAAAGGCATCACGACCTGGGTGCCTTAACCTATATTTTCTCTGACCTCACAGTGCGATAGTTGCTCTTGTTAATGTTTTATTTTATTTATTTATTTGTGTTTTTTTGGGGGCGGGGGATAGGGTCTTGCTCTGTCACTCAGGATGGAGTGCGGTGGTGTGATCACAGCTCATTGCAGTCTCAACTTCCTGGGCTCAAGGGGTTCTCCTGCTTCAGCCTCCCAAGTAGCTGGGAGGACAAGTGTGTACTGCTACATTCGGCTAACGTTTTAAAATTTTTTGTAGCGATGGAATCTTGCTATGTTGCCCAGGCTGATCTCAAACTCCTGGCCTCAAGTGGTTATCCTGCCTCAGGCTCTCAATGTGCTGGGATTATAGGTATGAGCCACTGCGCTTGGCCTGATTCTTGTTAAATTTTAAATCTCATTTCATGTAAGAGGAACCTTGGGTTCAGAGACACCAACTAAGAAATAACTTTTAGTTTCATGTCTTCAAAGATTGACTCAAAGTGATTATTGCTCAAGGTCACGTAGCAAGTGAGGATAGAGCTGAAATTCACACCTATGTCTGTTTGACTTTAAAATTATTTTGTTTCTACTGCACTCCATCGATGCAAAGAAACAAATGACTTTTATGACCAG
The DNA here is from genome assembly GCF_000001405.40 of Homo sapiens. Classification (NCBI taxonomy): domain Eukaryota; kingdom Metazoa; phylum Chordata; class Mammalia; order Primates; family Hominidae; genus Homo; species Homo sapiens. Next base: position 12,843,871 of record NC_000006.12, on the reverse strand, counting down.
CTAAAACATTGTATACAAATATTAATACAGACTTGACCTGTTTTCAGTGAAGAGTAAAGGGAACTTTATTGATTGATAGTCTACCACATGTCATACCTACTATGAAGTCTGTTACTCATACCATCTCCTTCATTTAATGTCAGTTTACCATCTTTGAATATTCAAAGTTAACCATCTTTGAATATCTGCAAAGCTCAAGTTGCCCATGTGGGTCTGAAATCCTTCATCTTATTCTCATTGGCATTGAGAAGAAGTTGTCAATTTATGATGCATGGTTTAACACATTATTTATGAGGAATCAATGGTTTTCAAGCAACTGGTTTGCTCATCAGCTTCAAAAGAGATAGGTATTTCTAGGTAAAGCAATCTTTCTATCTGTTTATCTATTTATCTGTCTATACACACACACGTGCATAACTGCTATTTTCCACTCTCTGGGCTCTGCTCTCCCGACCTGCCACCCCCAGCCTTCAAGCTTCTACACCAGATTCTAGACCTCCTCATTTGTGTCTCCTTTTTTCCTTCTAGGCTGTCATAAAATTGTCACTGAAATGGGAAACAATGAAAAGAAAGTGAACCAAAAGACTAGACAGTTCAGGCACCTGCTGTCCAAACCTCCGGAGCTAAAGTCCTTATTGGAGCTACAGAAATAACTTTTATTTTCATGTCTTCAAAGATCAACTCAAAGTGATTATTGCTCTTAAGTAATAATAGAAAAGTTCTGAATATTCTCCTTGCTATAGGGAATTTTAACAAGAGAAAAGAGTCCTAGTTCCCACATTAAGATACTTGGACCATCAAAACATCAACTCAAAGTCTTCCTACATTCCAATGACAAAAAGAAACTGCTAAGAAAATGTTTCATTTAAGTAGCATATAAAGGGTAGATAAGTCAAATTGTGACCTCCAAAACAATTATAATTATGTGCTAGATGTCCATCTAATGGTTACATTGACATTCTTTAAATAATCAATAGGTACATTACATTAATGTTGATTTTGCAAGATTTAGAAAAAAACACCTTTAGGCCGGGTGTGGTAGCTCACACCTGTAATCTCAGCACTTTGGAAGGCCGAGGCATGGGATTGCTTAAGGCCAAGAGTTTGAGACCAGCCTTGGCAACAGAGTGAGACCCTGTCTCTAACAACAGCAAAAAAAAAAATCAGCTGGGCATGATAGTACTTGCCTACAGTCCCAGCTACTCAGGGGGCTGAGGTGGGAGGATCACCTAGGCCCAGGAGGTGGAGGCTGCAGTGAGCCTTGATCACACCACTGCACTCCAGCCTGAGTGAGAGTGAGATTGAGACCGTGTCTCAAAATAAAAATAAAAAATAAAAAACCTTTACTGTTTAAATGCATTGATTAAAATGTGTTTTACTATTTGAAATAATTTCAAAATTATAAATTACATCATTTCAACAGTTCATCAGTAATTTATGACATTGACCCATTGGGCAAAATTACACAGCCTCCTACTTACAACATTGTCCTTACAGGAAAATATGACACCCTTACTATCATATGTTTTCCCCAGTAACACTGGCAAAGTTGAAGACTGTCTATGTAGTGTGCCACACTGAGAGAAGTGATACTCATGAGTCATGAAATTATGCTTTAAATAATCAAGTTAACTGTATCTGAATAATGCAAATTACTCATTGGGATGTTTTCAGAAATGTTTCAATAGAATTTTTAAGGGTAAAACATAAAACAGGCATCATTTGTTCTCCTTATAGATTTTTTTCCAATGTTATTTTACAGATTTATTTTTATTTATTTTATTTATATATGCCTTATATTAAAAGGTAGAAAAACAGTTGTCTTAGAATGAATCTCCTTATTACTAGTGGCATAAAAATAACATGATTGTTTTGAGTGATGCCACAAACTTGTACAGATTCAAGATGAGATCAAAAGATTCTAAAGGGCCTTCTTTACCTTTTTTTTAAATAAAGGTGTAAGAAGCCCTTGGACAACTGAAATAAGCTGCTTAATTAAATGATAATATCATAGAAAAGAATATTGCCAGGGGTTAAGATTCCCACAACAGATACTGCAGATAAACCAGGATAATTATCAGAATGATTTTTGGTATAAACTTGAAATGTTTACTGTACACATTCTTGGCCAACTCTTTCAATTGTTTAAATAGAACACTGATTTTTAAAACTATCATTTCTAGTCTCCCTTTTTGATAGCTAGATAGCTACAGTAAACATTGAAATGCTGAATTATTCCGTTTGACTAATATTTCTCCCTGAGCATGCTGGAAATTTGATTTTCCATTTAGTCATCAGCATTTAAAAAATATTTCTTATCTTCCTAGTGATGTAACAAAAAAGAAAATCTTGATATCTGATGCTCAATTCATTTGTATAATGCTCTTCTCCTCTGCATTAGAAGTACATGGAGCTGAGATATTGTGAAGCCCCACTCATTTTCATCTTAATGAGAGTTTCCTAGAATTTAACAGGTTCAAGCTGGTGGCCTCTCAAATCATCCTAGTGCAACTATGGTAGAGGCACACTCTTTAAGTAGAATGATGTGATTCTGCACAGCAAACAACAAAAAGGAAGAGACAACACATTGGTCTAATGGAAGAAACAGGGTCTTAGGGTCAGGGCTTCATCTGACAGCTTATTAAATGTGTGACCTTGGATGTGTCATTTAACTTCTCCAAATCTCAGTTTTCTTATCTCATACCATAAGGAATTGCTGTGAGGATTAAGTGAAGTAACTCTACCCAAAGAGCTTAATGCAGTGCATATTATGCAACAGACAGTAAAAAAACGAAGTCAGTTCTTATATTTCTCACTGCTTTAATGCAGCCAGGAGACCCCGTCCTGCGGAGTGCCACTTTCGTGAGTTCCATGTTCCCACTTAGACTCCTATTTAAGGTTGTGCCCCAGCATGGCTGAGAGAGTGACCGTGCCATCCACAAAATCAACTCAATTGCTGAGTCTGTAGCAGTATGTCCTTATCAGCTCAATGCAACAAGCATCACTTAAATACTTCCTTCATGCATAGTACTCTCCTTTAAAGCAGTGATAATATCCCTGGAAATTTGAACAAAAAGAGCAAGAGAAAATGGTCACTACCTTTGAATAGACATAAATTTGGGGGTGGAGGTGTAGACCTATGTACTTTCCTTTTGGTAGAGATGGTGAGACTTGTGCTGATGTATGGGTATAGGAAACCTATGTCTAAATTACCCATTTCTATCTAGGATTTTACTGAGTGCTGCATCATAAGGTCCCAGAAAGTTCCACTGCTGTGATACATTGCTGTTGCTCTTCCTGGATGAGAGAGTGGGTCCAGGCAGCAATACAGAAAAGAGCTTCTGGCAGGCTCTCCTGTCTGGACTCTTTTTCTACAAGTCGATCCCTGGACACAGGCTCCACTAGCCCCTTTCTCATGAACACAGTCTTCTTTTCTGTTATGCTTAGGTTGTTAGCATGATGGAGCAAGTTAACAGAACAAATGGGCAGTATTTAAAGATAATAAGCTAGATATGCCAAGATAATGGCTTGACTAAAGCCAGTTGCTTTGCATTTTTAGATGAATTCTATAAAGATCCATACCATGCATTCTTGAATGAATTAGCATCAAAAAAGTATAAAATACAAATGGTTTATATTTTTGAAAATAATTTTCAAAGTCAGTGATCTGTAATCAGATCCCCTTGATCAGTCAGTCCCTACAAAGGACTCGCTGTGGGGTGGAGGGGGATGAAAAATATCCTGATTACTCCCTGCTGACTGACTTAAAGGGAAGGAATGATAGCTTGCTTGATGCCTGGGTAGCAGCAAGGATGGGGCAAGTACAGGAGCAAGGGCTGACACCATTCCTACATGACACCTACATAAAAACTCTGCTTGTGATTTCTCATCAATATCTAATTCCCCTACATTGGTGCTGGGAGTACTCTCTGAATAAATAAAAAAAAAGTATAAGTCAATGATCCTCTGTTCTTGCTTTATGGCCGTGTTCGCTCTACACTCTGGTCTTCTAGTCACAGGCACTGTTTTCACCTTCTGCGCAGCCTATCTTCACCACATCTGATCAAGGTGTGAAATGTTACTCAGCATCAGCATGCCATAGACAATTGATCTTACTTCATTCATTATAATTTAACGAACCGTGTGTTATGCATAAGGGCGAACTCACTGTCTTGTGTGTACATCTTGATCTGTTGGTGACCAGTATCCTGTTTCTGTTAACTGCATCAGACTTTGGAATCAAGTTGGGAGGATGAGGCTTGAGGAGACCAAGATAATCCTGGTACCCCTATGAGGGGTCAGTGGGACCAGGCAGAAGGAACCCAGCCCACAGGCCCCATGACATATCTAGAAGGGCCAGCCTACCTCAGAAGTAGCCTGGCTACTCTGCTTTATGGCATGACAAAACCTGACTTTACTGAACCCCACAAAGGACTCGCTGTGGGGTGGAGGGGATGAAAAATATCCTGATTACTCCCTGCTGACTGACTTGAAGGGAAGGAATGATAGCTTGCTTGATGCCTGGGTGGCAGCAAGGATGGGGCAAGTACAGGAGCAAGGGCTGACACCATTCCTTGGTCACAGATACAATGTATGCATCTTCAACATGCAGTCCTGTGACATTTTGAAAAGAGTATTTAGACCCACTGTTAGCCTTCTTATTTGCATCTTCAAGTTCCCTATTCCTCAAAGCAAATTCTGAGGTTCTGAGGTTGAACTTTTCTATGGTTAGAATCCAGGCCCTGCTACTTGCTAGCCATGTGACCTAATTCTCTCTAAGGCCGTTTCTACATTTGTGAAATAGAAATAATAACAGTTCCTTTCTTCCAGGGTTGTATTAAATTACACATATGAACCATTTAGAGTAAATGACATGCAGTAAGTACACAGTAAATATTAGCTAGTACCATCATCATTGGCAGCAGCATCAGCAGCAGCAACAGCCTTATAATTTAAAGACCCCAACATTTTCCGAAGACCCTAGAGACCAGAGACCTGAGATGCAGATAAGGCTTATCAAACATGGCCAAACTGCCCAGGCTGACTCACACCTGCATTAATGCCATTCTGCTTCATGTGGGGGTTGGGGTTATTTTTAACCATACTTAGGGGAACACAAATTCACAACCATTTTGAGGCTATTGAATGAAATTATTTTGTAGTGCCCATATTTCATGAGTGCTTTTGTACTCATTGATTTAGAGTTGCAATCATTTTCCAAACACATCCAACAAAATGGCATTAAAAGCACAAACAAGAGAACATGAGGGCCTCCCATTTTACGAAATTTTACTTGTTTATTTTACCAAAGACAACTTAACTTGTTATAAACTACTACTTTTAATATTTTCCAGCATGAATTTTCTTCTCCTATTTTATTTCTATGAAATTCTAAAGTACTGCCTTTAACTGAATAGACAAGATTTTGCTGGATAGCAGGGGTTATATATGGTCTTTCAATCTAGGAATCGAAACAAGGAAGGGTGGTGAGATAGGAAAGGAGGAGACAGGCATCAGATACAGTGGCATTAAACACAGACACAGTGCCTGGAGGAACCAGGCATCAGACACAACCAGGCTCCAGGTTGGCTTCTGTGATCCCTGCCTTCTGATTTTCATACCCTCATGTGACCCTTTTCTCTTGTGTGTGAGCAGGAACTGTGACTTGTTTTTACTCGGTATGTTATAGCCACGGGGACGGGCTGTCACTTCTGTAATTATACAATATAGGAAAACGCTTTCACTTGCTGGTTAATGCAGCTAGTAGCCGTGTTGGGGTGGCCTCTTGCCACTGAGGATCCTCCAGCTGACAGCAGGTGAGAAACCAAGTCCCTCAGTCCTACAACTGCAAGGAACTGAATTCTGCTGACAATGACATGAGCTTGGAAATGGCTCCTTCCCCAGTTGGGCCTTCAGATGAGAATGTAGCCCTGGCCAACACCTTTGCAGCTTTGTGAGACACTGAAGCAGAGGATCCAGCTAAGCCTGTGAGGTGATAAATATGTTGTTTTAAGCCACTAAGTTTGAGGCCACATTGCTGTGCAGCACTGGAAGACTAATACACATACCTATTACTGTCAGTCACTGGCTTGTTACTTTAACATATATATCTCTGTAGCACTCCCAATAATTTTGTGAAGGTTTTATCCACATTTTATAGAGAATGTTGCTGCTTAGGTTGTTAAAACTTGCCCAGGGCCACATAGCTACGTTGGGGTAGGGCTGCAATTCATAGAGAAAAAGAGATTTTTGTGGTTTGTTTGTCTCATTTAGGTAAACTGTGTTAAGTTGGACAAATGATATCTCTTCCTTATCTTTATTTTTCAGAAGTAGAATGGAAAAGATGCTAGATATCTGCTTAATTTTTTCATTACATTGGAACTAATAGGACTGATGAGACAATGCCTTTAAGAAACTCCTGGCTCCCTGGAGAAAGGCAGATAATATTTGAAATAATTTTGAAGATTTAAATTATAAAGTGAATTATTGAGGAGGTGCTTGCTTTCTTAGAACAATTCTCTCCTCTTTGTAACTAAAAGACAGTAATTTTAAAAGTATATAATTTATATCTCTAGCAATATTACACAGATATTATTTCAACTATCATTTCTAGAAATGGACCTTTAAGCTAAACGAGTCCAACTCTGGTATTTGTAATTTTTTATCATCATTCTTTACTGCATTGGTTCTGGAAAATCTGCAAAGACACTATTATAGGACCAACAGGTTTTTGTGCTTGCTGCACTGTAACAGACCAATTACACTGAGACAGCAGGGTTTGTAGCAGAGAAAGACTTTAATGATTGCAGGACACTGAGCAAAGAGATGGGAGGAAGCTCTCAAATCCATCTCCTCAAGGAGTTCTGGGCTGGTGTTTTAAAGAGGAACATAGAGGGGGAGGGGCTGGAAAATTGAGGTCATTGATTGGTTGGGGTAAGAGGGATGCAATCATCAGAATGTGGAAACTGCATTCCTTGATAAGCCAGCTTCTGGTGGGGTCCTTTAAACCAGCTGATGTCAGTAGTTTTACTGGCATGTAGGACCTGAAAGAACATCTCAAAGGGAAAACTTAACATTTCATGATGTTCAGGTTGTTATCTATGGAACAGTTAAAGGAAACTATAATTTTGTAGCTGGGTCTACATGATGCTAGGACAACAGGCACCAAACAACTGTGAGGAAGCAGGTCAGAGAGCAGCTGACCTAGCAATTAATGCTGAATGTGCTGCAGGCTTAGGTTATTTTTATTTTTTCTTTCTCTCTTCTTCCCTGATTAATTTAATAAAGTTTACAGGGACAGTTTCAATGATAGTCTGATTAGTACTTGAAGATGTCTTTTCACTTTCCAGTTCTCTAAATATTGCTGGAGATGTTCCATTCTTCTGTTTAGCCTAGTATCCTTTGTGCTATTGACATCAATAAAAGGATACAACAAGGGAATAATCCTGATAACAAATACTCAAAAGAATCCAAGGTTTTGACTTTGATTTCTTTAGGTTTACCAAACGGTGCCACCAAAAGAATTCAGGTAAATTGCTTGCCCAATGGAAAAAGAAAATCTTATTCCATCATTTGTCCTGAAATTGAAACTGAAAAAAGAAACAGAGTTGGCAGGAGAGAGAAGAGGGAGACAGCAGTTGAAACTCAGTACCAGGCTGATACTTCATATTTTAAGGCTCTGTGGGTGCACTTTCTGATGACTTTAGAAGTCAGGTGAGGCTGATGGCTTCCTTACAGGTTACAGAAAGCAATTCAAGCTGAAACAAAGTCCTCGGTACTCAGTTCAAAAGCATTGCAACCATTATTATTGTTGTTTTGTGGTTTTAAATAAAAGGCCATTATGTTTTACAGGATTTTATAAGGAAACAATGTGGGCACACTGAGGATTTAAATTTTTTTTTATTTTTGTTTCAAAAAAAATTTAAAACTTTGTGCTTTGCAGCTATTCAAAAACTGAGGATGAAATTAGTATATGTGAAATTTCATTTGCAGTTATCTTTAAGTATTTTCTTTTGTGTGTGTCCCAAAAACCTGAATCTTAATTTAGATATTTCCACTAAAAAGCTACTAACTTTTTATGTTACTTAACTTTTCTGATCCTCTTTCCTTGTCAGCAAAATCGAAATAAAACATCCGTCCTATCTACCTTAAAGGGTGTTGATAACATAAAACCATGGTGAAGAATAAACTATTGCATAAAACATAGCAAATTATTAATATTTAGTCTATCCCTATTCATACTTTCTTCTCTAAAATATGTCTTAAAATGGGTATCCAAAAAATGTGTGATATTAGTTGCTGGGAGGGAGACTTATTTCTCCTGAATACCCTTTTAAAACTATTGAATTTTGAATGACAATGTACAGTCTATTAAAAATAAGGAAAGAAAATTAAAGCCAATAAATAAGTGTTTAAAAGTATTTCCTCAACCGGCCTTTCTTCTCAAGGTCAAATCCTTCAGGCCTGTCGTACTGCAACAGTCGTCTCCTTGATTAAGGGTTAGGCCAGGGAGCGGTCCAACCCTCCTCTGAACTACCCACAGCTGCTCCCCAAGCCTCACACTCTGACACAGGTGTCCCCAGAAAAACCTCATTTTCCTCTCTCCACATTTTTCTCACTGCTGGAAAGGAAGAAATGTCTTTATAATGTGACCCTACCCAAGGTTCCCCACCTGACTTCTCACCTCTTACTCCAGGTTTGTCCACACTCAGTTCTACCTTCCACAAGAGGTCTGCACTCTCCTCAGGTTCTCTCCATTTGGGATGCCTGCCTTTGCTCTGCCAGCTCTTCACATCCCATCCAGGTCAACTCTTACCTCTTCTCTAGCTTTTCATCCTAAGCTCATTGCTCCCTTTTTCTGAATTATCTTCATTGTTAATTGGTTGTGAGGCACAAATAAATCATTTTGCCTTTCAAGCATACATTTTTACGAAGAGGGTATTTGAAGAGGTACAGATGCTTCCACCACTGATAGTAATCATTCTGTTCTAGGAGGTTCTAGAATGTTCTACATTGTTCTAGCAACCTATCAAAAACTAGTCACTTGAATCAATCCATATGCATATTTAAGCAGAATATATTGTATGGTGTTCTGAAGACAATATTGAGAGAAATATTTATTTGGACGTACACACTCTGAGTTTTGTTTTTATCTCATTACCTTATGACTCTGACTACTACATCTCTAAAATAGGGTAAACTATTTTTGGTATTAGGTTTTGCTTGTATTACTCAAGTTTTTGTTTCCACCCACTGCTATAGTTATCTGGACTTGTGTGTGCACCTGGCCATAGCTACATCTATATAAATTTTATTCACGGGTGCACATTTTGCATATACCTTTGTGTAGTTTAAAAATGTAAGTTATGTGCTGATACCCTTCCTTCTCTATTTTAACTTCTTGGATAACACTGCCATTTCACTTTATCATTTTAAACCTACTTAACTCTACCCAATCTGCAGAAATGTCAACCTAGAGAATCAGACTTCACAAGCTCAAACTCCCCAGGGAAGAAGGTTGAGACATTTCTACTCATATCTATAGATGTATTATGCCAATCAGGTCCCAGGGTTGACAAAATACAATTACTTCAGCCAAAGGGAACATATTTTTATTATCTTCCAGAATCTTTTGAAAAATAGTTATTGAGTACCTATGTGCTAGACATTGTTCTAGTGATACGCATCAATGGAAAGAATAAGTAAAGTCTTGTCAAATATCTTAGGGGAATGGGTGGGAATAAAAGCAGTGGACAAGTATAAAATTATGATTTCAGAGAACAATAAGTGCTATTGCAGAACTATAGCTGGTTGATCAGAGCCAAGAGTGACCATAGCCTACTGTCAGGATGGGGATCAGGAAGGTCTCTCTAAGGGGGGCAGCTCCAAACTGAGACCTTGATTTACAAAAACGATGCAGCTACAGGATAATCAGGGAAGACCACTCCAGCTGGAGGGAGTTACTGGTGCAAATGTCAGAGTGCCCAAGCATGGTAAGTACGGGCAGGAGTAGAAGGAGAGGGAGGCTGGGCCAGCCCAGGCACTGTCCACAGCAGGCTAGGGGATGGGATTTTATTCCAGTGTAGTAGGAGGCCATTAGAGGATTTATAGTTAAAAGTGTTCACCCCAGCTGCCCTATGAAGAATAAACTGTGTCCACATGCATGTGCATGTCCATGTGTGTATATGTAAGAGCGGAAGCAGGAGACCAGTAAATAACTGGGATGAGAAAGGTGATGTTTTCAAATACAATGAACGTGGTGATGAACATGGACAGAAGTAGATATTCAGATGTCATTCAAGAATTGGAGGTTTGGCCGGGCACAGTGGCTCACGTCTGTAATCTCAGCACTTTGGGAGGCTGAGGCGGGCAGATCACCTGAAGTCAGGAGTTTGAGACCAGCCTGGCCAACATGGTGAAACCCTGTCTCAACTAAAAATACAAAAATTAGCCAGGTGTGGTGGTGGGCACCTGTAATCCCAGCTACTCAGGAGGATGAGGCAGGAGAATGGCGTGAACCTGGGAGGCAGAGGTTGCAGTGAGCTGAGATCGCACCACTGCACTCCAGCCTGGGTGACAGAGCAGGACTCCATCTCAAAAAAAAAGAAAAAAAAAGAACTACAGGTTTGTGGAGCAGAGATTATCTAGTATATCAAAGATTCCTTAGATGTGCCCAGGTTTAACACGAAAAGGAAGCCAAAACCCAAGTAGCACATGGATAGTTCCTCTACATCACAGCATTCCAGAGGCAGGAGGCACCTCACAGTGGGAAGACAGTGAACCTCATAGGTGAAGTGACTTCTTCATGGACACACAATCAATTGGCTCCACAATTGAGACTGTCTCCTCATATTCTATCTACCTCACCAAATTTGGAACCATTGCTAATTTGGAATTTGCTCTTTTGATCACATTACAGTTGATAGTCTAAAGCTGCAGGTTGCTTATCTCATGTGTCCTAAGACTGATTGTGATGGAAAAGAAGTCAAATGTTTTGGCTCAGAGAAGGCATTTTAGCATTTAGCATATTATTCCACACCCCGTGTCTATTACTGATATATCTGTGTGCCTGACAACATAAGAGGAACAAAAGATGGGGGGTGGGGGCTGTTCTTTTCCAAATAACAGCTTAAAGGTCTGAAACTAAATTATTTATTGAGGCAAAGGGCTTTGAAACAAGCAATGGGGTAAGTGAAATCTTGAGCATTACACCACATTTAATAAAAACATTCCAATTTTGCTTGCTTTGCGACTTCATTGGCTTTCATATGAGAAGTTCTTGACTCCCTAAAGAGCTTAGTATTTGTGTCCCAGTTACCAAGGCCAGGTTGAAAAAAAACCCCAAAGTGCTTCCTGTTGACAAGAGATGAATTGTCTGATTATTCGAGACATGTTAGGCCATAAATTATTTTGTAATGCTTACAGTTCTAGAGCGGCTTATTTTTTGTTTTTTATTTTCATGCTACTGTGTGACAAATATGCTGGCCTAGCAATGACAGCAGCATTCTAAAGCTAAATGTATCAGAACATTCAGCTCAGTTTTACGGTATATGAAATGAATTCCATTTCAGACTCTTAGCTAACATAAGATGTTCTTTCCAAGTGTTCTCCCTATAATAAGTGCTGTACCCTGGAATTTCAGACTGCTATCTTGAGAATGTGGGAGAGAACCCCTAGATTTCACCATAGTTCTGATAGAGATGAGCATCACCTTAGTTGGCACACTCATTAAACCTTTTCAATGTCTACTTTTCATAATTTTTATGAGCCCAGGTCTTGTTCTGTCACCCAGGCTGGAGTATATTGGCACAATCATGGCTCCCTGCAGCCTTAAACTCTTAGGCTCAAGTGATCCTTCCACCTCAGCCTCCTGAGTCACTGTGACTACAGATGGATGTACCGTCAAGCCTGGCTAAAATTTTGATTTTTATTTCCTCCTCCATAAAATGAGGAGGGTGTTCAGATCACACAGTCTAAGATCCCTTTCCCAAGTCAAAATACACAGTAACTATTTTAAGAACTCATTAAAAATTGTGTGTGTGTCTGAAAAGACCAAGACCATATTAATGAGAAGTGTATTTTCCATCTCTTAGATTTAATCTTCTCTTCCCTTATATCTCCAAATAGCCAAGAAGAAGAAAAGTCATTACTGTATGAGCATTAACATAGGTGGTTCTAAATCACATCACAGCTGTCATTCTTGTTGTGTCAGTCAAGGAATCTGATGAAACATAGAACAATTTCAGACAGGCCAAGGCCTCCTATGAGGTAAGAAACACTTCGAGAGAAGCCACACTTGGAGTGTGCAATAGTGCAATGTGAATTTAAACAAGGGGGCAGACTTCTGACCCAGGCTGTAGGTCTTTCTATCCAAGTAGGGCCTGCATTTCAGCTACTGAGTTATGAAATAATAGATGACATTTTCTTCTATTTTAAGCCCATCCCTTGCTCTTAGGTCACTGAAGTGCAAACTGTAATCAATATGTACCTGAGGTCCTGAGTGACGGGTTCTTGTCTGGATGATTTTTCTCATTTGGGTACCATGATCCTTTCTATTTTCTAACAAACCTAATGTCTATAAAGTGCAAAGACTATAGACCCCAGTGTTCACATAGATTTCAAAAATGCATCGTAATTTCAATGTTCATTCATGTATTTGTTCATGTAGCCAGTTATCAATGGATATTTCTTGAGCAACTACTATGCACAGAGCAATGATTTTTAATAAGAAAACATAGAGAAATATTTCATCTTTATTTTCTTTTTCTAGAAGAAGCTCAAATACGATAGTTCTTTGATAACTTTGTATGTTGTAGGTTTCTGGAATTCAACTTTTTAAAATGTTAGGCACACAGTTCAGTTGATAGTTACTCTAAAAGCCAAGACTTCGCCACTACGCAATATATCCATGTAACAAAAGCATACTTGTACCCCCTAAATCCATAAACATTTTTTTCAAAATAAAAAAATTTTTTGAGGCCAGGTACAGTGGCTCATGCCTGTAATCCCAGCACTTTGGGAGGCCGAGACGGGTGGATCACCTGAGGTTGGGAGTTCGAGACCAGCCTGGCCAACATGATGAAACCCCATTTCTACTAAAAAAAAATACAAAAAAAATGAGCTGGGCATGGTGGCAGGTCCTGTAATCCCAGCTACTCAGGAGGCTGATGAAGGAGAATCGCTTGAACCCGGGAGATGGAGGTTGCAGTGAGCCGAGATCGCGCCACTGCACTCCAGCCTGGGCAACAAGAGTGAAACTCTGTCTCAAAAAAAATTTTTTTTTTTTTTGAAAATTAAAAATATGTATTACTCAGAAGAAATGAGTCTTCAGTTAGTATATCCTGCCCCTAGGTGATAATAGACTGGTGGGAAGGCTCTTCGGTTTCCCTCCCCCTCTCTCCTTCTAGTCATCATTTCTATTAACATGTTCAATATAGAATTCATCAAGGTGAGCTTAAATATGTGGATTCCATAAAGCAGAAAATGAAAGAAACAAGTACCTTACCATCAATGCCTTTTTCACAGCTTTTTTTTTTTTTCTAAAGCCCTTGAATCTTATCTTAAGGGCAATCCACTAAGGGAGTAGAGTAAGAGTCTGGGAACTCAGGTCCACTGCGTATCAAACTTGACTGGAGTTTTTAGTTCATTTTCAATTTTCAGCCTTCACTTAGTTGTGAATTAAATACATGGAGTGTCTTCAGTAAAGTGAAGATGTCTTTCTTTCTTTCTTTCTTTCTTTCTTTCTTTCTTTCTTTCTTTCTTTCTTTCTTTCTTTCTTTCCCTCCTTCCTTCCTTCCTTCTTTCTTTTCCTTCCTTCCTTCCTTCTTTCTTTTCTTTCCTTTCTTTCTTTCTTTTCCTTCCTTCCTTCTTTTCGTTCTCTCTCTCTCTCTCTCTCTCTCTCTCTCTCTTTCTTTCTTGACGGAGTCTTGCTCTGTTTCCCAGACTGGAGAGCAGTGGCACAATCTTGGCTCACTGCAACCTCCGCCTCCTGGGTTCAAGCGATTCTCCTGTCTCTGCCTCCCCAGCAGCTGGGATTACAGGTGCCAGTCACCACACCTGGCTTTTTTTTTTTGTATTTTTAGTAGAGACGGGGTTTCACCAGGTTGGCCAGCCTGATCTTGAACTCCAGGCCTCAGGTGATCCTCCCATCTCGGCCTCCCAAAGTGCTGGGATTACAGGCATGAGCCACCGCGCCTGGCCTCATTTTCTTTTATTATCTTTTCTTCATCTTACCCACTCCACTCATAAAATTGGAGCCTAATTTAAGATCTCTTCTGGGCTATTTTAAAGAGTTTCAACTACTAAACTCTTTCTACTGTTATTCCATACTCCAAGCCACTAATCCAGGTTGCCAGTCAACGTTTCTAAAGCATAGTAGTAATCAGATCACTCACCTACTCAAATACTTTCCAACGAGTTTTCATCACCTCCTAAGTCAAGCACAAAACTCCTTTGTCTTGTACCTGAGGCAACAATTTGGTCCCAAACTTCTCCTCTATGAAACCTAAGAGTTCCTCAAGGCTATGCTAGGCTGAGATACAACTTCATGTAAACAGTTGTTTCTGCTACTAGAAAGAGCTTTTTCCCTAGCCTCTATGCTGTTGTTTTTCTCTCTTTTTCCTTTACAGAAATCCCACTCGTGTGCACTGTGATCAGGCATTGCCTTGCTGTGATAATAACTCCCCTGGGCCGAGAGCTACAATGTATGTCTTGCTTCTATTCCAAATTGCTTTCTTGTTGTTGTTTTGTTTTGGTTTCATTATTTGCCTTTTATTTTTAGTTGGCACATAATAATGGCACACATTTATGGGGTACGGAGTGATATTTCAATACACGTGTATAATGTGTAATGAACAAATCAGGGTAACTAGGATACCCATCACCTCAAACATTCACGATTTCTTTCAAAATCCTCTCTTCTAGATTTTTGAACATATACAATAAATTGTTTGCTATATTCACTCTACAGTACTATACAACCCTAAAACTTATTCCTCCTATCCAGCTGTAATTTTGTATTCATTAACCAATCTCTCCGTAACCACCCCACCCCACTTCCTAGCCTCTAAAAACCATACAAATTGCTTTCTAAAAGAGCTTGTGTTTTTTTTTACAACGAAGCATTATTTTTCCCCAAAAATAATTTTTTGGTCGGTTTTTGTTTATTACAAAAGCAATACATTTTCATTCCAGAAAAAGAAAACGAAGATAAAGAAACAGAGGGAAACAGAAACCATCCATAATCCTACTCCTTCAAAGACAGCTACAGTCAAATTCTCATGTAACTCCTTCTCTTTTGGCAAGAATATTATACCCTACAAAGGTCTCTGGTGTGGATTTAAAATACTACAAGTCACCCAATATTACGAATAAAAGAAACAAAAAGAATAGAAATTCCACCATAGAGTATACTTGATATCTACTTCTGATGATTATTTTCTTATAAAAAGAACACATCCACATAATTTTACATCCTTCTATACAATCAAAATTTACTTTAATCTCTGTGTTTTCATGTGCAGTTTTTTATACTGAATACATATAAACACGCTATAGGAAATGTACTGTATAAGAATCAATGCTATTTAAGTAGGTAACTGCAAAAGTCAGTGACAATTCATAATTAGTGGGAAGAATAGAGAAGCAAAATGTCCCACTTTAAGCCGAGAATTTTATGATCTATAAATAAATCCTTTTGATGCATTGGCCTCATACGCAGCAAAATCACAGAGTGACAACT
Source organism: Homo sapiens (assembly GCF_000001405.40). Lineage (NCBI taxonomy): Eukaryota > Metazoa > Chordata > Mammalia > Primates > Hominidae > Homo > Homo sapiens. The sequence continues at coordinate 12,828,132 of NC_000006.12, read as the reverse complement.
CTATTGCCTACCCACTCAGCCAACTGGGATTGGTTAAGGTTAGGTAGGTAATCAAAGCCCACAGCTACTTCTTTGTATAGGTAATTCTAGCTCTGATTAACCTGACAATCACATTCCAAAATTAAGTTTTTTACTGAAAAAGAAGGATGTTAAACAATTGCTGAAAACCAAAGTGACTAATGAGTATCAAAAAAGCCCAACAAGCCATAATTTATCCAAATATTCTATTTATTGCAAGCTTCACCCCCCCTCACCCTCACATAAGACAGAAAAGAAAGCTCTTCTTGTTATTTTCATATTATCATGTAATGTGGTTGAAGGAAATTACATTAAAATTTACTTCTGCTTTCTTTATATCATTAGTATGCTTGCCAAGGGCCAGTCTTTTCAGGAAAAGTGGACAATTTGAAGCTGGTATGTGCTTCCACAAAAATACTAGATTTTGTCAGCTCCAAGAATATCTGTCATAAACATCAGGTTCTGCCAATCCTAGTAAATTGGATTTGCATCTGTGTGAGGATATATGTTGCCTTTTTCATGAATGAAATACCTCTCTTGACTCTGTCTATTGACACTGATGTGGTGGTCATTTCAAATTATCTTCCAGAGGTAGATTCTCCATACACAGGCTTTCATTCACATGGATATATCTTAAAATAAGCAGAGCTGTATTACTTAAGTTAGAATGAATGGCATCTTTGGATTAGAAGGCCTTTGTGTAAGCTCTAAGAGGTCTACAAAATCTTTGAAATGGTACATAAAATGTAATGTTATGAATCAGTGCATTTTTCTAGGGATGGAGCTTTCATCATTTTTGCAATGGATTTGTGACCCCAAAATGTCTAAGAATACTTGCCCTACATTAAATACAATTGAGCGAATTTGCCTTCTCATCTATGTGGTGAAGTTATAGCAGCTATTTGGGAAGTTCTTATCTCTAAAGTAATTAAGTAAAAGATAGAAAAAGTCCTTTCGAGAAAACTCCGGGAATGTTAGCCAGCAACATTATCTCAAGATGGGTTGTTTTCTTAAATAATCAATAGCGTAATGACTATCAGCTTTATGCACAGAAACAACAAAGAAGGACGATAACGAGTGAGGGAAAGTGGGTATCCCACAGAATTGCAACAAGTGAGGGAAAGTGGGTATCCCACAGAATAAATAAAATTTGGGTGGTTATTAGGATGTTCTTAGCATTCAATTCTTAAGAGTGTTAAAATTAGTCCAATGGAACTCGTTGGTCCTTCTACAGTCAGTCAGGGTGTCGTGGAGAAAGTGATTCATTGAACAAAGCATGCCCATAATGAGTCCCAGGAGAAATCCCTGCTTGATCTTCATTTCAAGATTAATTGTCCTTAACCTGAGTTATTATTTCCTTTATATTGATTTATGGACATTGTGAATTGTGCAAACCTGGAAGTTCTCTAGCACAGTATATTTCAGATGCACTGCAAGGGATTTTTATTATTACTATTAAAGTAATGAAGTTTGTAAATTACATACTTAAGACATAAATTAGAAAAGATTCAAGGACACCCTATAACAATGTCACAGTAATTTGAACTCCTGTATGCTTTCTTCCTGAGAGGCAGAAAAATAGAATAACAAGAGGCAAACTGGCTACAGCTATTTCCCCATGGAGATGATAATCTCACAGGCAAAAGTCATCTGTTCTACAAGTTGAAGTAGGGAAAACATTGGGAATTGTTGCTAAATTTGATCAAGTTTTTAAATTTTCCTAGCCAATTATGTAACCGCATCTAAAAAAGACATGTGGGTCATCATGATATAAATGTTTAGTCTCCCTGGCTCTACTTTGCCCAATACTTTATTTTTACTTTTTTGTGTAGGGGGAGACACATTTTAAATTCACATTATCTTTTTGGGGAGTATATATCCTTGTAAGCTCTCAATTCCTTTCCAGAAAAAAAGTGGTAAGTACATGAATGGAAATACTGCATTAAATATACCCTCTATTGGCTTTCTTGGTTCTAAGTCACTCAGCCAAATGTCTGCATTTTTGGAGTTAGCCATGGGAAAAAATTACTTTCAGTCTCTACATTACAGAACCTTGTCATCTATGTGCATGCACAAAATCATACTGAGAAACACTCCCAATCTATTAAAATGATTAATTAAAATACAAACAAAACTGTAATCTAGGAAAAACACATGGAGTTGTGAAAAGTCCCCTCCTAAATGTTTCTTTTCTTTTCTTTTCTTTTCTTTTCATGTGTTATTTGTAATGTTTATCTCCTCGTGAGTGGAGAGTTTACCAAGAGTAAAGGTGAGTTTGGGAAACCTGAATTTCATGAAGTGAAGAGAGGAAAGGCAGTACCCTAGCAGATGAGAATGAGACAACCAGACCTGCAGAGGAACTGATGGTGAAGGAAAAAGCAAAAATGGAGACAGAAGGACACTCTAGAAAGAAATTGCATAGGAGAATGTGGTAGAGGCAAATGACTGGGAAAGGAAAAAGGCAGGAAACAGGCCTTTGAGATTCACTGCTTCTGTGGATACAACTTCCACAATCCAAACATAAAAACCAGAATGATGAGATTGATCATCACAACCAGCACTTGACCTTCAAAATACAAATTGGCTGTATTAACACAAACTTAGGTTTTTAAATTAACTTATTCTGTTCATTTGTAACATGCTGGTATGTCTCCAAATAACATGGAGAAACCACACTAAACAAGAAGCTGTCCTTTCATTCAGAAATGAGCAGAAAAATAAAAGAAATAGTAAGAGCTAAGATTTATTAAGTGTCACCATGTGCCCCTTACTCTTCTAAACACTTTTTTTTTTTTTTTGAGAGAGAGAGGGTTTTGTTCTGTTGCCCAGGCTGGAGTGCAGAGGCACACTCATAGCCCTCTGCAGCCTTGAACTCCGGGGCTCAAGCCATCATCCTGATCCAGCCTCTTGAGTAGCTAGGACTACAGGTGCACACCACCACACTCAGCTAACTTTTAAATTAAATTAAATGTGTGTGTGTGTGTCTGTGTGTGTGTGTGTGGAGATGGGAGTCTTGCTATGTTGCCCAGGCTGGTCTCAAACTTCTGACCTCAAGTTATCCTCCTGCCTTGGCCCCTCAAAGTGCTGGGATTACAGGTGTGAGCTACTGCTCCTTGCCCTTTTCTAAGCACTTTAAATATATGAACTTAATACCTTTTCCATTGATTTTACAGATGTGGAAACCCCAGCACAGAGAGCACAAGTCACCTGCCCAAGGTCACTGTGGTGGTGAGCCAGGATAGAGCCCCTTTCAGACCCAAGTACTTTGGTTGCAGAATCCTTGCTGTTCACCACTACACTCTGTATTAGACTGAAACATACATGGACAGAACTACAGATACTAAAGTTAATTTCCTGAAATATCAGGACCCAAGAACTAATATATTAATAGATCCCATTATGACATGGTTGAGAAGAAATGAAGCATGCAATGAAAATAGTGCTAGGAAAAGAATAACTTTATCTACTTTATTTCTAGCCTCCATGCCTTTCTTCACTACCCCCTCTAAACTTTCTGAATTCCATTCTTAAGTCATCTTCTTTCAGAAAGGTAAACTAAAAAGTCTTTATATGGCTTTTCTTTTCTCTTTAATAGTATGCAGATTTATAATGTCATTAGGGACATTAGGTAGGCCAGCAGTCCCCAGCCTTTTTGGCACCAGGGACCAGTTTCGTGGAAGACAATTTTTCCACGGACCAGGGTAGGGGGATGATTTTGGGATGATTCAAGTGCATTACATTTATGGCGCATTTTATTTCTATATTGTTATATTGTAATATATAATGAAATAATTATACAGCTCATCATAATGCAGAATCAGTGAGGGCGCTGAGCTTGCTTTCTTGAAACAAGATGGTCCCATCTGGGGGTGATGGGAGACAGTGACAGCTCATCACACATTAGATTCTCATTAGGAGCATGCAACCTAGATCCCTTGCCTGTGCCTTCCACGATAGGATTCTCGCTTCTATGAAAATCTAATGCCACCACTGATCTGACGGGAGGCAGAGCTCAGGCAGTAATGCAAGCGATGGGGAGCGGCTGTGAACACAAATGACGTTCCGCCTGCTTGCCCACTGCTCACCTCCTGCTATGCAGCTCACTTCCTAACACATCACAGACCAGTACCAGTCCCTGGCCCGGGGGTTGGGGACCTCTGAGGTAGGCAATAGAATTTTCCTTCTAAAGGAAGGAAAAATATAATTCAGGAATGTATGAAATCAATATGTGGTCACACCCCAAAGAAGCAGTGAATGATCCCAGTAGCTAATGAACTTGAGTTTATATTTGTTTGCAGAATAAAAGAAATGAATATGATGAATTAACACTAAGTAGAAGCTTCTAAAATGGCAGCAAATTAGTTCTGCCCCATTATAAAAACAGACCAACCGACAAAATCGAAATGTAGAGTGAACCTGAAGCTCCAACTGATAAAGGGATTTTATAAAAATCAGTTAGCATAATTCAATACAAAACTGTGTTCTGAAACTGTAACAGGGTCATTTGGTTCCAGAACTTTCACATTCCATATGGATCTCCAATTGCTATGAAAATCTACAAGACAGATCTGTCCAAGTCCAGAGATGGGCTTGTTATGTTTGTAATAACCAAGAAAATACAGTTAGCCTTTAATTTTGTTCACTTCACTCAAAAAATTCCACGAGTCTTATTGATTTTTTTGAACTATTGGAACATTTCTTATATTTTATTGTTTTAAAACTCACTGTTCACTTCATGAATGGGTGCTTTCAAATTAACTGCTTGAATTCACTGTGTGTTGATTTTAATAAAGCTCATTTAAAATATCAAATTAAGCACTCACCATGTGTCATTTCTTCTTCCAAACACTTTAAATATATTGACTTATTTACTTCCTTCCCAAAATCTTAGGTCAAAGTGACTTATTCTTCCCATTTTGCAGATGTAGAAATCTAAGCACGTAGAATGTAAGTAACTTGCCCCTGTTTACACGGGTGGTAGGTGACAGAGGCCCCATAATTAGGCGATGTCTGCAGAAAATTAGGTTTTGCAATTTTGCCTCGATATATAATCCTTTTCTAATCAGAAGCCAAGGTGCCTATTAACACAATATTGTTCAGTAAATCTATTAATGAGGCTCCATGGGTTTTATCTGTTGTTACTGCTAAGCCCACTCATATCCCTGACCCAGATGTTATTGTTAAAGGAGGACTTGAAGAGTAAAATCAAACGGCATTGTCCGCTGCCCTAACCTCTCTTGCAAACTTTCTCTGTGGCCTTATGGCTCATCTACCTTCTCAGAGGTAACAAAACAAAACAAAAATCCTTCTCTCACTTTTGACCTCAGAATCCATGCATGTTAAATAATGTTAAAGCTGTGGTTTTGGGCTGCTTCTGGCTAGAAGTCTATTCTGGGAAAGAAAGAAGGTCTGGTTCTGTTCTTTCCTGATGGGCTTCTGTCCCTCTGTCCTGCCCTTGCCCTCAAACTCCAGCCATACCCTTGCTAGATGCCCCGGCTCCTCTAACACTTGGAAGAGCAGGGAAGGGAGAGGAGGCCTGGGGCGAGGAACATATTAGTTGCTTAGAACTTTTAGGACCCGGCTGTGGTTTCTTCTGACCGTGGCAGATACTTACAGTCAATTCTGTCTCATGGAGGGCTTGGTGGATTGTCAGGCATCCCCTAGCACCTGGCTGGGCCCCAGCCCTCCTTCATGTGGTATCGCTCCCTTGTGCCTCCCTGACTAGAATTTCTGGATGGCTCCTCGTGGTCTCCCCTTAGGTCTCTGGTTCTTAGAAGTCCGTTGTCACACAGGTTCTCCCTGTTGGGGACTCTGTCCTTCCAGGTGGCTCTCTGTAGCAAAGACCATGTAGAACAGCTCCAGGCCAGTTTCTATTTCTGCCAACATCTCCTCCTCTCAAAACACATGCCTTTGACCTTTAGTCAACAGGAGTCCAGTGACTCCAAAACCTCTGTCATGCTGCCACAGCCAGGTTCTTGTCCCTTATATTTCCAGACCTGTGTCCTCCAGCAGCCCAGAGTCTTCTACCAACACTACAGGCCACATGATAAACTCTCCTGGGGGTTTCTTAAAGTTCCTCTTACTTGGCCCCAGGCTGAGGGGATGTGTTTGAACTATGGTCTCCTCATGGGGCTTACAATTAAAATGATTTTCCCCAAAGTTTCCTTTCAAAGAGTTTTCAGAATACCGAACAATATGTACAAAGACGCAGTCAAGCCTGTGACCCAAAGTCATTTGCTCACATATCTGGGCGGAATCTGGACCAGTTTGTGTGACCTTTGACAACTTATTTAGCCTCCCTTCTTCTTTCTAAATCCAATGTGCCAATAATATCTAGAGATGTTTTAGAAGTTGACAAAAACATTTATAAAGCCCTTAACCCAATACCCTGGCCCAGAATAGGCAGTCAACGGATAACATATATTATCGTTTTAAAAAACCTTGATTTTTTTCCCAACAAAATATCCTGTGAGTCCCTTGCATTCATACAGAGACATTGAAAGACTAAATGACTGACTACACATTGGAGTGTAGGACAACAGAGGTATGAAGTTTCCTGGGGTTTCAGCCTGTGGTTTAGGACCTGAGCCACACTCATTGATGCTTAACTTCTCTCTCTCTCTCTCTCTCTTTTTTTTTTTTTTTTTTTTTTGATGTGAAATCTCACTCTGTCACCCAGGCTGGAGTGCAGTGGTGCGATCTCAGCTCACTGCGACCTCCGCCTCCCAGGTTCAAGCAATTCTCCTGCCTCAGCTTCCTGAATAGTTAGAATTACAGATGTGTGCTACTGTGCCTGGCTAATTTTTGTATTTTTTAGTAGAGACGGGGTTTCACCATGTTGGCCAGGATGGTCTCAAACTCCTGACCTCAGGTCATCCAACTGCCTTGACCTCACAAAGTGCTAGGATTACAGGCGTCAGCCACCACGCCTGGCCAGTGGTCAGCTTCTCATGCACTTCTTCTTTATATTTGAGTATTGAAGACACAAATACATTGAATAACCACATTGGTAGGTCTCAGAAAGATTTTGTGTCTAGCCTACACAAATACAAGTAAACTAAAGGTCCTTCCTGAAAATCTTAGATCTCTATACCAGGTTTTTCAGTAAGAAAATATTTGGAAGTAGTTTGAAAAGGTGAAAGTGTCAAACAAAAGTAAAGGCATTGTTCTCATTTCTCAACAGCACATAGGGCAGGTTTCTTTTTGTCTATTTTTTCCTTTCCTGGAGGGCTCGGTTTTGGTGATGGTAATGATGATTTTTTGTTAATAAAGAGTTTATATAAACAGTTCTCATATCTTAGCAACTCAGCTTCTTTTCTCAATCAGAAGAGGTACACTTGAATATGTTAAGTTTGAAGCAATAACAAATTCAAGTTTTAAATTAAATGTCTCATGCTTTGATTTCCAATTAATTTCTGTTTTCTCTTCCCAAAGTAGAACCTGTGCATTTGTAAATCTCCTGGTTGAGTAACCCTTATGTAAAGACACTCAAAGTATACAAGGCACTCCAAGATAAGAGAGGATGAGAGGAGAAAGCGAGAAGAGAGGAGAGCAGGAGGAGAGGGATGTTATATAAAGCATCTCTTTGCTCTGAAACAAGTTTTCATTGTACTTAGACCATTAGAAACACTAGTTGGCTAGGTGAGGTGGCTCACACCTGTAATCCTAGCATTTTGGGAGGCTGAGGCGGGCGAATCATGAAGTCAGGAGATTGAGACCATCCTGGTTAACATGGTGAAACCCTGTCTCTACTAAAAATACAAAAAATTAGTCAGACGTGGTGGCATGCGCCTGTAGTCCCAGCTCCTTGGGAGGCTGAGGCAGAAGAATCACTTGAACCTGGAGGCAGGGGGTGCAGTGAACCGAGATCCCACCACCGCACTCCAGCCTTGGCAACAGAGCGAGACTCTATCTCAAAAAACAAAACAAAACAACAACAAAAAAACTTGTTTACTGATGAGTGAATACTCAATATTTATGCAGAAGAGGTTAGGGAGGTAATAAATGACTTACACTTGTATGCAATAATCACCCCCATCCCATTCCTCCAAATCGTTAAGTTCTCAGTTTTTACTTTCTCTCCCATGCTTGAATCAAGTGCTGCTAGGGTGTAGAGTTGTTTCCTAGGAAATGAGTTGCTACGTATTTAGGCAGCAGCAGAAAGGAAGTAATACATGCTTGGTGTGACTAGTCTCTAAATAACTGTAAGTTCTGGTACCTTGATAATCCCAAGAATAAGCTAGAATGAGGATGGTTACTGAACTGGAATCGAGGATACCTGACCTATAGAAGTGGCTTTCTGCTCGCATTTGATGTTAGAGTAATTACTCATCCTAAACTCAAATCAGTAAAACAGAGCTGCGTCCCTCACTGCTTTGAATGATTCTGGACATGGCCTTTTTGAGGCTAAAAATAATAATAATATCATCTCTATACAGATTTTTAAAATTACAAATCACTTTCCCAAACACAATTTCATTTGGTCATCAGAACAACACTTCTTGGGATAGACAAGAATTCATATTTCCATTTTATGGCAGAAAAAATCGAGACACAGTGAAGTTGTTTTTATTGCCCAAATTCACAACTAATAAGAGGTGCATTGAGAAGAACCCCCGGCTTTTCCTAACTCCTACCTTACTGCGTGAAGTGTGATGTTATCACCTATATCAAATAAACATCCTGTGTGGTTGAAATATATGAGAGACTCAGACCACCTGTTTGAGCTGCTCTAGTGTTCACCACAAGAGCTACTGTGGAACAAAAGAGCAAACTGAGTAACTCCATGAAATATTTTGCTTGCAGAAAATAAAGCAATACATTGTAATTGCAGAGAATTTTCCTTTCAAAATTACATAATGCCCATTATCTCATTGTCACTCTGGGATATTAAACGAGAAGCCCCAAAAGACCTACAAAAATCCGCAAAATTCAACAAAAGGAAAGCATTATGGTATGGAAATAGAGTGGCAGATGAGACACACTAATCAGTTGGAAGATGCCGAGGTTTTGGCGGTGGAATGCCCAGTGTTCATGGTTTTCAAGTCACCATAAGTCAATGCTTTGACTGAGAAGTTGCAAAAGGTGCAGTTGTAGTGTTGTTTTGTTTGCTTCAAATGTTTTCCAAACTCTGCGCTTTATTTCCAGCTCATATCTCCTGCAAAGACATTTCTGGCATGTCCTATGCCTGCATTTTCTTGAATAAACATGGAAATACAGAACTGCTGTACTTTCCAACAGATTTCCAAACAGTAAAAAGGAAGCTGACTTGTATGGAGAGTTCTGGACCAATCTGTTTGGGCTACAATTACCTTGGAAATTTTATACCTATGTTGGTATGGGTGAGAGGCCAAGAATCAGATGCAGATGATGACTCTGTATTCTAAGAAGTGATGTACTTTTTCCTAAAGGTTTTGATTTTTTTATTGGAACAAAGCTGTCAACTCATTAGAAAATATACTAAAGAATTCTTTTCATAGCTCTGTATGAACATGAGGAAGACTGGCCAATATAAACTCCTCATACTGTAGAATCTGAGTGACCACAAATTCTTTGCAGCAACTTCCATCACGTGAAATCTACTTCCCACTCCTTGCATCTGGGTTGGTCATGTGACTGACTTTGGCTGATTAGCAAACCAAGACTTGAAATGTACTTGCCTACTGGAGTTTGCCCTCTGTAGCTGCTAGAACTCTTTTGCCATCATATGAACAAGTCTGGGTTGGCCTCCTGGAAGATGAAATACTACCTGGATACAGGCCAAAGCTAGCCCAGACATCTCAGCTGACCCAGCAGAGTCCCCAGACACGTGAGTGAGGCCATCCTTGACCATCAAGCCCAAAAAGGACTGTCCTAGACTGGAAGAACCACCCAGCCAAGTCACAGATTCCTGAGAAATAATAAACATTGTTTTAGGCTAACTTCTGGGTAGGTTTGTTACGTAGCAAACACTAACTGATACACACCTGGCTCCCCTAAAAATTACAATTTAAGGCCGGGGATGGTGGCTCACACCTGTAATCCCAGCACTTTGGGAGGCCAAGGCAGGTGGATCACGAGGTCAGGAGATCGAGACCATCCTGGCTAATATGGTGAAACCCTGTCTCTACTAAAAATACAAAAAACTAGCCTGGCATGGTGGCAGGCGCCTGTAGTCCCAGCTACTCGGGAGGCTGAGGCAGGAGAATGGTGTGAACCCGGGAGGCAGAGCATGCAGTGAGCCGAGATCGTGCCACTGCACTCCAGGCTGGGCGACAGTGCAAGACTCCATCTCAAAAAAAAAAAAAAAAATTAAAGTAAACATGTGCTTACCTTTAATTGGTAGTGATCTTCCACAATATATAGTTTACCTTACTAATAGAGGGTAGAATGATTTCAGTACCCATCTTTCCTGAAAAATATAACCCACATCTTCCACCTTACTGTTTGAAAAGGTCCAAAGATTTGAGCTCTTTTCTCTCACTTCAGGAGGCTGTATCAGTAATAAACACTATCATTTATATAAGCAGTTACTCCATCCCAGCTACTGTGCTCAGTGTTTCAGATGCATTAACTCACTCAACTGTAGCAAGAGCACTAAGATGATCTCATTATTTCCATTTTCCTGTTTAAAAAACTGAGGATCAGAAAGATAAACTCGTCCAAGGTCCCACAGTATATGGCAGAGCCCGGTTTCAATCTCAGATCTGACTCTCAACCACTTTAACTTATGGTTTCCCAAGCCATTTATTATTGCTACAAATATGTTTATAACTTTTCTTGGTTTTGATGGGTAGAAGGGTCTGGAAAAGGTACAGAGAGGAGTAAAAGTTACCAGAAAAGGGATACATACGATGTGATGATAAATTTCACCTGCTTCATAATTTGACCTTCTATCACTTTCCTTGGTTAAAGTCCCCTTTGAAAAAAAGTCCACTCTCCCCAAATTCACTAAAAATAAGAAAAGGCAGCCAAGGTTTATAAATGATCAACATCTTTAGGCAACTTCACAAGTATGATCCTAATCCTATCTTCCCGACAATCAAAGAAGCCATATTACCACCATAAAAATCCTGCCGTTACATGCATGCACATATATTCAATAGATTCACACAGAGGCAGGCACACACATGCACCCCCACACACACAACCCTGTGTCTTCTTCCTCTCCCTTCTGTAGTAAAAATTACGAGTGTCCTTCCCGGTTGGCAAAGTGTTTTTTTCCTTTCTTTGTGGCTAGACCCCGTGTGGATGCTCACAGCAAAGACAAGCCATAATTCTACTGCACATCCTTCTGTAATCTAAATATTGTCCTGATAATTTGGTCATCTTCCTCAAAATGGGACTCCTGAATTCTTTTGACACTTGTCAACACATCTTTCTGACCCCCTCTAGCTTGTTACTGGGATAGGGAAGATTTTTAAAACAAAGGCAACAAAAATCAAAGCCTGTCTTCCAGGCTGTGCCTATTGCCATTTTTATAGACAAAAACAAGATTTATTGCTTCTGAAAAACTGTATGATACCCTAAAGTTGGGAGAATAGAAGAAAGGTATAAGCTGTGATTTCAGTGGACAGTGACACACTGACAAATGTCTCCCAACCACAATGCAGTGCAATGCAGGGCCCTGAAGAACAAAGATTAACATGTCTCAGAGTAATGATTCTTCCCCTAGGGAGCAAACCTAATCAGACTTTATCTCTCCCTGACATGAAACCCTAGATACACACCCACAGAGTTTAATTACATAAGACTAAAAGACTAAGGGGAATAACTGAATTTACCTTAGAGAGAACTTCAGATTAAGAGACGGATAAAATGTTTAAGAGATGACATCATTCTTTGAAACTCAAAAAGCATGGGGCTTCCCACAAGAGGGTAAGTGGTTCACATCTCTTTTGCATATATCAGGTATCATCAAGTACATTAAGGCGATACATTAACAGCTTCTTTACGTTAATGCCAATGTTCATGAATCTCTAAATTAAGAGCCTTTTATGCAGTTCCAATCCAGAGCCATTTAAGGTAGCATTGGTGGACAGTTCCAGAATCTGGTAATATTGTGCAACTGTTGTTTGCTTCTCCAATATGATCCACCTGCAGGGGTGAAGAGGTGTAGTGAGTTAACTTTCTCTTGCCTTGCCCATATTGGAGGGATCCTTCTCTTTGGAAGCTGAGTATATGCCCAGGAAATATTGATTCTTTCACTTGGAAACGGAGCATAAACCCACAGCAACCTGCCTTGTTCCCCTAGAAGATGGACACACACCAGGAGAAGAAAAAGGACTTTTTTTCATGAAAACCTTCAGTTTCTTGTGGAAAGGTACTACCTACTATTTGGTGTTCAGTTAAGTAACAAAAGCAAGCTAGACTGGGGAAAAGGACAAAGGGTTTATACAGAGAGAAGAAGAAAATAACTGAAGACAAGGAAACAGATCCACCCTTTACCGCTTTTTCCAGAGAACTGTATTTTCCCCGTTTTGGATGTGAGCTGTAGTTTCACAAATGTGACTTAATTTGGGAGAAGGTGAAGGAGTTAAGTAGCATCACACCCTGCCAACTCACACTCAATAAAAAGGGGAGGATGATTATTTTCTTCCTTTCCCATTTCTAAAGGACAAAGTAAGAGTAAGCTTCATTAGCAACCACTGAGTACACGGAAACAGATTAATTTGTCACCTTTGCTGTTTAGTAGCAGTGATCTGGCTTCAGAGGGAATGATCAAAACAGGTAAGTTTGGTGTAGGGAAATGCAAGTAGAGAAAATTCCAGAGTATGAGGTTCTCAACAGAGATAGGAATCTTGGGAAGCAAATTTGATACTGGGGAGGGGCAGTTTCAGCGTCTAGAAATACAGGGAAAAGAAATACAGGCACTATCAAAACAAAACAACCATTTGCATTGCTTCAGTTTTAAGAGGCCTCTTGAGATGTTTTAATGTGAAAAAGCAGTTATCTACAGGTTGTTAAAATTTTTTCCAAAACTGCAAACAGTGTGGTGGCCCTCCTTATGGCATGGGGGTGTTTCTACATTGAACTGTAACTCAAAGCAAAGCAATTAGAACAGATTCTTTGAGCATGATTTTTAATTGTCTGCATGGGAGACTGTATCATTACAATGACAGTTGGCACCATGATGGATAAACACAAAGTACTGAAGCTCAAAATTAGTCTTCATTTTGTCACAGAGGAATTTGCAACTGTGCTCAATTCACTTGAAGCATGTTGTGTTTTGAGACAGACTTAATGGAGGATCTCTCACAAAGGACCAAGGATTTGGGCTCTTGGTTGCATAAAGCAGCCTCCCCCAGCAACTCAGAATCACTAATGGTGGGGGATTAATGTCCATGGAAGTGGAACAATTAAAACATATTGTCTCAAGGGATACCCTTCAAGTGTTAGACTAACTGTATCGAGTATAGCTTTTTTTGTTTTTTTTTCTTCCATTTGTAGAACATTTGGTGGGTGATGGCTTTCTCTAGGAGGCAATATATAATATGGCAGAGGTATAATACAGAATCTTAGCAAGTCCTGTGGTCAAAGCCTTATTTTACAGGTTGGGAAACTGCGGGGCAAGGGACTTACTCAAGTTCACACAAAACTAGGCAAAACCTGATCAGGTGCAAGAAGAGCAGACTGGCTAGCTCCCAATTCAGTGCGCTTTCCAGAGAGTATCTGTGGCCTTTGCCAAATGACTAAAACAGCAAAGAGACATTTTTGGAGCGTCTATTCTGTGCCAGGCACACAGCACTTTTCATAAATGTCTTTGTTTACTTCTTGCCACAAGCTAATGAAGATCGGGACATTGAGGCACAGTAGGCGGTAACTGGCTCATGACTGTATGGCTCATGAGGAAGGTGACTGGAGAACCCTGATCTTTGGATTCCTTCCTCTTTCATCACAACACTATCAACACAGGGCAGCAAGAGGAGTTTGTACTCCAGAAATGGGCTGGAGGTCAGATCATGGGGCCAAACAGGAAACATGCACTAGAAATTGCTGCTTCCTTAGGGGACATGAGAGAACAGAAATTCCACCTGACACCCAGGAGCTAAAACCAGGGTAAAGTTAAAGGAGGGATGTGTCTTCACAGGGGAAATGGAACAGAAGGAGCTGGACTGAGAATGAACAGCGGTGCTCAGAACTGGGCATCCACTGAACTGATGCTTCTTAAACTAAGGTGTTTAGGAATCCCCTGTGCAGCTTGTCAAAATGCAGATTCTGATTCAGTAGGTCTGGGGTGAGGGCCTGAGATCCTGTGTTCCTAGCAAGCTCCGCAAGGATGCTGATGCTGCTGGCCTGTGGGCCACACTCGGAGTGGCAAGGCTCTGATAATTTTCTTCTTCTGAACCTCTAGAGCACTAGTTCCAGTGGTGACTTGCGCCTAGTGTTGGCCTTCATCTAGCTGCTCTTAGTTTTTGATGCAGTCTCTGGCCTGATTGTACAGTTTAGTTTACTAGTAAGAGAGGGACAGGCGGAAACTACAGAGTGGCTTTTCCAAGGCTATTATCACAGGAAGGGCTCTGAGCCTTTGCTAAGGGGCTGGTTGGTCATTAGTGGTTTGGGATGGCAGGAGCACACTCACACTCTGGATGCAAACTTCTCTAATGGCAGAGGGACTTGGTGTCTCTAAACTGTTAGACTGTGGTCTGCTGATGACTCAGATAATTGGAAAGAATGCAGTAGAGTAGTGGTTCCTAAACCATGAGAATCTGGCAAAAGCTCTGCCCGCTCAGCCTAGAAAACTGCACACATATGTGAAGTTTTCCAGATAATTTCAAGGTGTTCATAGACCCCCCTGAAGCTGGTTCATGAAGCTAAGGTTAAGTATAAGGCCCTTCAACTCTAAAAGGGCTCTCAGAACTTGTGTGTGAAACCAATATCCTAGCACACATTTAGACAACACACATTTATAAAAATAAAAATGAGTTTCAGTGAAGTGCAATTTGTAAATATTTAAACACTTATTGAAGAGATGATTGGGGCTTCCTGTCTGTTTTTTTCTCTCTCTGTGCATCCTTAATACCTAAGATCCACCAGGTTATAAAAAATAATTTGAATTTTTAATTGTTTTTACTATCTCCTAGTTGACAAAGCTTCACAACCAATTAGAGAAATAAATTGGCCTAATGAATTAATTATTAAAATCCACCTCTGCTGTTGCTGCCTCGGTCATGCTCATGCATATTCAAGGTACTCCCTCTCCTCAATGGTTTAAACACAGCTGAAGAGGTCTTCTTCTCTGAGGATTGCCAGGCCATGAAAGAAAATTGCTTATGGGCTTCAATTTGATGAAAGTCCAATTACACACCGCTGAAGTGCAACGGGAATTTCTGTAATAAGTCTCTCTTTTGAGTCCTAACAATCATGCGATTTCAAACACAGGAAACCACGAGCAAGGGTCTGTTTGGCCTACTCTGAAATGTTGTGCTCGAATCACTAACGTATCAGCAGAGAATGGAGAAAGGCATGACGATGGGAAGTAAGCAGCCTACAGACAGCAGGGCTGAATAAGCTAGGGGCGTTCACGAGCTTTCTGAGAGACAATTCAGTGTAGTGTAGAAACACTGGGCTTGGGGTCAGGAATTTGGATCCTAGGCCTTGTTGGGTGGTTTATTTGCTTTATAAACTTAGGCTAGACACTTCGCTTCTTTTAACCTTAGTTTTCAGATCAGCAACATAGGGTTAATAATTCCTTTATCTTAGTGCTATTACAAGGACTCCACGTGATGACACACTTAAAATATCAAACTTGGTGCTTTGTTCGTGTTTAAAAAATGTTAGCACTTTAGCCACAAAAAGAAATGAAGCACTGAGAACATGCTACAATGTGGATGAACTTAGGAAACATTATGCTAAGTGAGAGAAGCCAGACACAAAAGTCACATACTGTATGATTCCATTTATATAAAATGTCCAGAATAAGTAATCTGCAGAGACAGAAAGGGGAGTGGTTGTTGCTAGGACTGGGGTGAGGGACAACAGGCAGTGACTGCTAAGTGGCCACATGGTTTTCTTTTGGGGTAATGAAAACATTTTGGGACTAGATAGAGATGGTGTCTGCACAACACTGTGAATGGACAAAATGCTATTGAATTGCACAGTTTAAAATGGTTAATTTTACGTTATGTGCATTTGCCTCATAAAAAAAAAAAAGTAGCTCTTGCTTGTCTCTTCCCCAGGCACCCTGTAGATCAACTTCTTCTTTCAGAAAAAACAAAGGACCATGAATCTCTTTGACATCCTTAATGAAATCTTACCACGAGCTGAGCCCTGTGTCGGCTGCCACGGAGACATAAAGGAAACCGAGTATGGTGCCTGCCTTCAGAAAGTCTACTACTAAGTAGGCAGTCAGAGGCAGAACACCGAGTTATGTAAACAACGGTACCTGATGAAGACAGGCCCAGACCAGAGCTGCTTCAGAAAGGGTGATCCGTGTGGGGTAGAATAAAAAGGCAAAAAACAACACAGTGTGGGATGTATTTGGGCTAACAGCCTCAAACTGGAGAAGATTTGGTCAAGATAAGAATAGAAAGTAAGAAATAAATCAAACCATATCTTTCTAAATTGAAAGATAGCAAACATAAAATAAAATACATCACGTACACTAATCTTAAGTGCACAGTTCAATGGTTTTACATTTTTATATACCCTAGTAACCACTACCGTGTCAAGATATATAGCATTTCCAGTAAGAAAATGTGTATACTTTCAACAAGTCAAATTAACTAAAACCCACAAGTTATTTTCAGCAATGAAACTATATTCTCCAGTGTAGCCTTATATAATCAAGGATTCATTTTATGTAATGGTTTTAAATAAACCCAGTGCTACATCTTCCCAATTTCAATTGCATTTATTTAGGAGGTTTATGTGACCAGGAAAATTGTAATCTAGTACATTTTTCAATGTTGTCTTCAAACTATCACACTTACTTCGTCCTATGATTTCTGAAACTCCCTTATGTAATCTACGACTGATAATAAAACAAGCCAACGGAGCATCTTCCTCTATCATGCTAAATCCCATGTCACTTTAAAGCCCACGAAATAACCTAAGAAATCAATCTTGTATTGGACAGGCTATGGAAGAAGTCCTCAGAGCACCCACTGAATCTACACATGAGGCAAAGAAACATCTAAGAGGAGTGAGGACAGGCAACTGACACAAAGCGCGTCAATGAAGAAACGGACTGCTCCCCAAGTGTGCCCTGCCTGATACTCATGGGCAACTGGGTGACCAAGCAGGCTCTTTCTTGAGGAGTTAGAATGTGAGAGACATATGGAGAAGACATACAATAGCATAGTGCAGGGGCAAAGAAGCACAGAGAAAAGGAAGTGAGCAGAAAGGAGCCAAAGGAGAAAGGAGATAGACACATGGAGGTAGTTGGTAGGAGAGGAGGAAGAAGATGCATGAGTGGTGAGAAGAGCAGAGTCAACCACCTCAGCTATGAGCAGGGCACACCACGGCAGTCACTACCTGGTGGCTATGGGGAGGATGCCGGAACATGAGCCTTTGTTGTCACTTTCTGGCAGGTGGAGCAGCCTCCCTGTCCTGCAGCTGCTGAGACCTCCCAGGTATGGAGTCTCAGGATGGGGTCTCAGGTTGGAGTCCCAGGATGGGGTACCAGAAACCCCATCCACTGAGAGAACACAGTGCATCTCTGCATCTGGAAACCTGAAGAGCTTCACACAAATTCTGCCTTATATACAATTCAAAGAGAGCGTTTTTCTAGATGCCAGGGGATGTGGAGGGATGGAAGAGCAGTGTAAATTATCTTAGGCAAAAACAAACAAACAAACAAACAAACAAACAACAAACCAACCAACCACAATGCAGAAAAAAGAATACTTTGGCATGAAGCCAGGAGCAATTTTGGCCCCTTTGTCTCTTATTATCAGTGAGAAAAAAATGAGTTTGAAAATACCTAACTTTGAAATGTGTATATTATATGAAGAGAAAAATAATCTGAAGGTGACATTTCATTTTCAACCTACGTAGATTTCATTTGATTAATTTCGTTCTGTAACCACCAAAACTGAATGTGAATAAGACCTAAAAGACTTGTTGGGAAGCAAATGTAACTATCCAGGCAATGGATCTATCTACACACAGATTTTAAGAAAATTTGGTTCATTTATTCCGTAGTTTCATCTCCTAGTATTAGAGTCCTAGACACCTTCCTTTTGAGTATGAGGCCTTAGACTTTAATATCAAGATGATAAGAATTATTTTAAAATGTATTTATTGTTTTAGCCATTAGTTAGAATAACAGAATCATACATTTTGCTGTCCAAAAAAGATAATTTTTGATACAATTTATTTTTTATTGTTTTGGATGGAGGGAAAGTTCCAATCCATAGGCCTTCCGTATGTATCTGATCTTGTAAGGACAACTGAACTATAGAGCTTACTTAAAGCATCATCCTTTTTCTCTAAGTAAGACACCTGTGCTCACATCTACCATTTTATTAGTGGGCATAATATTCCCTAGAAGTAAATAGAATTTTTTATAAATGGAGAAACTGAAATGCTTGTTAGAGGAAAAGCTGAATGAAAGAAGATCCTTAAATCTAAATTCCTGGAAACAGAGTTGTGTTTTGTTTTGTTTTATCTGCTAGAGTAGGGTTGATAAATAGGTTTCATCTCTCATGCCAGTTTGGATAAATGGATAGTGGCTGCCAAGAGCAATGCTGTGAATAACTGAGGTTTCACTGGGCCTTCTTAGGGCAGAGTACTAGGATTGATGAGTGATATCTGTTGTGGGCACAGGAATGGGGCTGGGTGTGGAATATCTATATTCCTGCACTAGGGTGATTGATTTTTTCAATGTCATAATAAAAGCACCTATGTAAATATCAACAATAGCTTTTATTTTCCATATTACCAAAGCAATAACTTTTACTGTAGAAAGTTAGAAAACACAGATAGCTTAAAAGTAAGACAGTAGATGGCTGGGCATGGTGGCTTACTCCTGTAACATCAGCACTTCGGGATGCTGAGGCAAGAGGATGGCTTCACCCCGGGAGTTTGAGACCAGCCTGGGCAACATGGGGTAACTCCATCTCTACAAAAAAATACACACCAAAAAAAACTTAGCTGGGAGTGGTGGCACATGACTATAGTCCCAGCTACCCAGGAGGCTGAAGTGGGAGGATCACTTGAGCCCGGGAAGTGAAGGTTGCAGTGAGCCAAGATTGCACCACTGCACTCCAGCCTGGGCAACAGAGTGAGAGAGAGACCCTGTCACCACCCACCGCCCCCAAAGAAAGAAGAAAAGAAGAAGAAGGAGGAGGAGGAGGAGGGGGAGGGGGAAGGGGATAAGAAGGAGAAGAAGGAGAAGAAGGAGGAGAAGGAGAAGGAGAAGGAGAAGAAGAAGAAGAGGAAGAGGAAGAAACTAAAAATCACTACTATTTTATCACCTAGAGATGTGGCAACAACACTGATAGGTATTCTCTTTTCTCACTGAGTTATTATTTTCTAGAAGTGGGATACTCATGTAGTTTTATAACCTGATTTTTTAAATCTTCATCTTATCTCATGAAAACCTTTCTATGTCACTTACAATATCTTCCTTGTATTCCTTTGTATAAGTTTTATGTAGTTTTACCACTATTTTCATACATTATGATGGGTTCTAATTTTTACTCTTTTAATTACCCCAATTCCATAAAACATCTGTAGCCAAATCTTCTGGCAACGTTATTAAATTGGGATAAATTTTTATGGGTGGATTTGTTGGAACAAAGTGAATGCAAATTACTTTCAGTATGTACTGATGAATAGCCCTCCTGAAATGTTTCAAAAATTTATTCTCCACTAAGTTTTTAAAAGTTAAAATATATACTTTTAAACCTATCCAAGACTGAAAAATAGTGCCCAAAGACTGAATAAGATTTAAGAGACGGATAAAGAATCTCGTTGTATAGATTAGTAATCAGTGCTCCAAAAACTGGTTTCTGTTCATGTGCTTACAATGAATCATATTAATGTCATATTAAGAACTATAGAGGTGACAAAATACTTTTTTAAACGTGAAGATATAATGGAAAAGTTACCTGCTTGTCATGAGTATCCTGACTCATTAGGTGGACTCATTAGGTCCAGTAGACTAAGTGGAAAATTCAATCTCTAGATTACACTTACTGACTGTAAATCTGCCTAAAATAACCAAAGCTGAGGTGTGAGTATCTAAATCTTTACTCTCCTCAAAGCAAATTCAAAACACTTTATTGGGCAACGACATTTTACGAGACACAGTGATGCAAAGAATATTGAAATGTGATTTCAGCCTTTAAAGCTATCACAATGCTATTGGGTGTTCAGGGTAACAAATACAAGAATGGATGTAAGGAAGCTCAAGATCTAGGGAGAAGAGGAAGCAACAAGCTATGCCTGTGATGCTCAGTTCACAAAGGAAGGACACAAAGGAAGGTTCACAAAGGAAGGACAATTTAAGATGGGTTCATTGGGCAGACTGGGTGGTATGAGAGTGTCGATCAGAGTTCTTATCCGCTCTTTGTAAGAATTTCACATGCTTCCGTTCTAAACAAAACAGTCTGCTGACAAACTAAAATATCTGAAATAAGCACTGATCAGCAGGATCCTTCTGTCTACTCTCTGCCCTATCTTTCTCAGGTCCTTATATTTCCTGGGGTTGGCACAATAATTAACATGGAGAATCAACTCCTCGATATACACTAGCATCCCTCTTGGTGAAAAATTCTCCAAAGTAGCATTATCTACCTCTTCAATGCCATCAGCCTGTTGCGGAATAAAAGAAAATGGAATAATTAAATATTTTATTTTTTCTCTTCCAGTTGCTATCAACATAAACAAAAAATCCATTTTAGAAAGATATGATTAAATAATCCAAATAATATTCATTCCCACATCCATTTATGAACTACTCATCGGGTACCCACTCTGTACTAAGTACTGTGTGAGATTTTTTTTAAAAGCCCATCTCTATGAGATAATTAAGCACTGAAAAATCTATGAAAGCACACATGTGTTACAACATCATCTTTCAGAATCAGGATCTTTATGTTTTGGGAAACAGAGATTTGTTTGCCAAAATACTGTAGCATGGAAGGAAAAAATAAGAATCTTTGTGTTTTTAACCACAACAGCTGCTTTGAAAAAAATGTCATCATAAAAATAGTTACGCATGAAATGGTAATTGCTCAACTTGTCATCTGATTGCTAGATTAAAAACTCCAGATTTGTAATTGCAGCTATCATGCAAACAAATTCACAATTCTGAAAATATATGTCCTGCTGGCTGTGTTTTTTAAGGACAGCCATTTTGCCCAGGGATTTTGATGTAAAGTATTTTAATCATCCTAAAGATTGAAATTTATAGCTATTACTGGTGAAAATGTATAATGCAGATCTGTTTTATAAAAAAATTATTGCTTCACTAAATAATACTGTATAAAAGATAATTTTCTAGTATTAAAGCATGCTAGGAATGGCAGAAGTTATACTCTCTAAAAAAAAAGGTTTTAAAACATTTGATTATAGCTGGGCGAGGTGGCTGAGCCTGTAATCCCAGCTAGGAGGGAGGCTGAGGCAGGAGGTCATTTAATCCCAGGATTTTGAGGCCAGCCTGGGCAACATAACAAGACCCCCTCTCTAACAGATTATAAAAGAGAAAATTAGGGAGGTGCTTAGTCCATAAAAGAGGGAATAAGGGCCTGAATTAGGATTTTGTGACCTAAAAGGAAGGGAAGTGAAATTAAAGTCTTTACAAAAGTGCCTCATACATGATTGGCAACTGATACAATGTAGTAGGAGAGAAAAAGAGAAATGAACGTTTTCTTCCAGATTGAAAGTCCGTGTGATGACAAAGATGGTGCTGATGTCATGGGACCAGAATAGAGGGAAAATAAATATATTTAAATGAGAGGATGGTAGACACTGCGGTTGAAAATGGAGTCCTATCTAGGTTATGAAATGCAGATGAGGATCGCAGAAGGTGTAGATTTTGGAGGCAGGTATTAAAGCCTTGAGACTGGAGAGGATTTCTACAAAAGACAGTGTAGAGAGAGAACTGAATCAAATATAGAATACTGAGCTATATTTGGGAAAAAGGGGTAGGAGACCATAAAATTGGGATTTGGGAAGTGGGAGAATAACAAGAATGCAGCATTATGACACCAAGGAATGTAAGCTTCATGACAGAAGTTGTAGTCAACATTGGCAAATGCTGTTAGAAATCTGAAGATAAGAAAATAGGCCGGGCATGGTGGCTCACGCCCGTAGTCCCAGCACTTTGGGAACCTGAGGCAGGCAGATCACCTGAAGTCAGGAGTTCGAGACAATCTTGGCCAATGTGGTGAAACCCTGTCCCTACTAAAAATACAAAAATTAGTTAGGAGTGGTGGTGGGTGCCTGTAATCCCAGCTACTCAGGAAACGGAGGCAGGAGAATTGCTTGAGCCTAGGAGGTGGAGGTTGCAGTGAGCCGAGATCTTGCCATTGCACTCCAGCCTGGGCAACAGAGCAAGACTCCATCCAAAAAAAAGAAAGAAAGAAAGAAAGAGAGACAGAGAGAGAGAAAGAAAGAAAGAAGCCATTCAAGTTGACAATTAGTAGGTCATCCATATCTTTCAGAGAATAGCCATTCCAGGAGTATTGTGGGGCAGACGTCAGAGATGGAAGTACAACGAAAGGGAGGTGACTAAGTGGAGGCTGCTGAGTGGTGACGAGGATTGTTTGAGACTGGGAGAAGTGAGACAGAATTTAAAGCTACACAAACGTGTCGCACTTCTAGAAAAGTGAGATAGGGGACTGACAATTATTTGAAGAATTATGACCTCAAGTAAACCAGATTATTTTAGAAGACATTTATTTTAAGGAGAAGTTAAAGAGTTTGGCACCTAAAAATGTATTGTTAAATAAATTCCATACAATGTGTTAATTGATGAATTTCAAGTGTGATATTTTCAACGCACAGATGAGTCATTTCCTTCGTGGTAAGAATTTCCAACTCAGCTAACAAGATAACTTGATAGGTTTTAGCCCCAAACTTCACCAAAAAATGTTAAAAAGCCAAATCCCAGCAACCCACATATAACCCAAAAGGCAAATTCCTTTGCAATGCATACATTGAGGATAAAAGAGGGGTAAAATTCTGAATAGCATATGAAGCAGTGATTGCTGTTTTGTATAATTTTGTAGTGGTAATCACTAGTATACAATTTTTTGAATATATGTCTATAGATTAATTCTTGTCCATTTTTGGAGTATTTATTTTCACATACGTAAGTTACTAGTATGCTCAGTTGAGGTCTATTCAAAGTTTGACAAAATGATTTAATAAAATATTTTTTATTTTGAAACAGGGTGCCACTCTGTCACCCAGGCTGGATTGCAGTGGTATGATTTCAGCTCACTGCAACCTCACCCTCCCAGGCTCAAGCAGTAGCTGGGACTACAGGCACATGTCACCACATCTGGCTAATTTTTGTGCTTTTTGTAGAGACAGGGTTTCGCCATGTTGCCCAAGCTCATCTCGAACTCCTGGGCTCAAGGGATCCACCCCCCTCCCAAAATGCTGGGGTTACAGGCGTGAGCCACTGGGCCCAGCCTGATAAAATAATATTTAATAAAATCCCTATAAGAAAATGTTTTATATTTCAAATAATCATTCTGTAATGGGACCAGCCATCTTCTTTCAGTGAATTGTACCTTTTCAGGTGGTTAAGCCCAAACCCTCTGTTTTATCACATCTCTGAGGTTATCACCCGCTGGGCCATTCCAAGTAAGAAAGAACATATGAGAAGAAATCAGAAAAATTTATGGGACAAAAGCCATCTAACATAAGTCAACAATGAAAACAGCCTCCCACAAGTCACTGAATAAGAGGCAGAGTTGTTTTCTTTGATCCAAATATAAGAATGATTAGATGATTCAATGAGCAGATAATTCCATAGGCATTTGGTTTTAAACTAAAAAGGCAAAAGAAGTCTAATAGCCACAAGATGGTACCAGATAATGTTTTGTAGGTGGTGTTGATCTTCTCTGAAATAGAGTGAATTTAGTCATGCTAAGGTCAGATGAATGGTATAAAACACCTCTAAGCCGAATTTTTCTCTCTATGCATGGCCTTGGAGAATTCTAGAAAAATGAATCCTATTTAGCCCTTTGCCGAGGACCAATTGATAATTTGTTACTATTTGGAATTTTGTTCTTTTCCCTGGAGATTTTCTTTCTGAAGAGATTAGAGCACAGGTTCTCAAATGGGGTGGGGTTGAGGGGCAACTTTGTCTCCCAGGGACACTTGTCAATGTCTGAAGAAATTTTTTTGTTTGTCACAACTGGGAATGCCCTGCTACTGGCATCTGGTCTGTAGAGGCCAGAGATGCTGCTAAATAACCTGCAAGGCACGAGGCAGCTCCACTCCTTCACCAAATAATTATCCCGCCCAAAATGTCAATAGTGCCAAAGTTGAGAAACTCTAGATTACAGCACAGTTTAGAGGAATTTAGAAAAAAGAAATAGTTGCATTCCTGATATGTGTGGCTTTGTTTGGTAAGAATAAACAGGAATGTTTCTTTGTCCTATTTATTCAAGTACATTTTACACTCTAAGAGTGCAAGAAGTATAGTGTAAGGTGAGGCTGCTTGAGAGTAGCATGGTTTTGGCACGTTTTTGTGACCCTTAATTTCCTCTTCTTCCTTTCGGGAGGCCCAATCTGCTGTAGAGTGTTCTTTAGTCTTCCTCACCTTCCCTAATATGTCTCCTCCTCCTTTTCTGTGAGGGGCTGTGGACTCAGTCAGAGGACTGGAGCAGGTGCAAGGATGAGAGGGGAAGAAGTGAAAAAGAGAGACCACCAATCTCAGTCCTGCCACAGCCTCCTCTCAGCTTTTGGCTCAAGGGTGCCAGAGATCTGTGAATTATTGAACGCAGCGGGGTTGACACATAGAACTTTCAAACAAGAGAACCTGTCAAGAAGTGACACAATAATAGGACCAAGTAGAAGCAGTGCACAGTTCTTGAGCAGTGCACAGATAAGACAGTGTGGCTTGTCAGCAGATCACAGTTTAACACACAAGCTTTGAAAGGGGAAAAGTTATGGCAGCCTGGAATTTTAACACACGTGTTCACCTTCATCATATCATGGAAGGTGGCTCCTCTACAAAGCCACATATATTAGCTATCTTCACATAGGGTTTTTATCTTGCCACTTTTGTCATTCAAGAGTAAGGAATACACTGAATTGATTTTCTTTTAAAATGGGAAACCAAACTCAAAACTTGCAGTCACTTTTAAAACGTCTTCTCTCGGAATAAAATGATAGAGACGAGAATCTTGGGTGCCAAGGGGCTTTCCATCAAGATCGTAAACACTGAGCTTAGAGAGGTAATCCATTCCTATGGAGTTAAGCTTAAAATTTTATATTTTATAGATTCCAAATTCACAGTTGTAAAAACATTTTAGCATTTAAGAAATCAGAATGTATCTTGTACTTGATGGGATAAAAAAGCATTGCGTCATAGTTTAATTGGTTTTCTCTTTTTTGGTGGCAGAGAAAATAATGGTACATCCTACGGTTGATGGCATTTTAGATTCAGTATAATAAAGAAAATACATTCCACATTTCTTAGAATCACTCTGATCTGGCAGGTCATCTCTAATTGCTCCTCTTCTGATACTTGTATATACATCATTTTTCTTGTTTTAATTTGTTCCTGTTCTGCTTTTATTTTAGCCTAATTATATATTCCATTTGCCTGCACACAAAAATGACTAATTTTGTGTGTAGCTTTTTGTTCCTAAGACTGTTCCTTTTTCTTTTACGTTATAGTAAATTGCCAATGAGGAGTATGAACTTATAAGAACTAAGAAATAATTGTTTTATTCAATAAGTTATTATGTTGGAAAAAGAAAAGCATAGGTGGAAGTCAGATCTACTCATCACCTTTGGCATTAACTGGCTATTAATGCCAGTTATATTTATATGCCCTTTAAGTCATAGGAAAATTGAGCTACATATTATTTTATATAATAAAGTACATTTATTATATAAAATAAAATTATTTTATATAATATGTAGCTCAATTTTCCTATGACTTAAAGGGCATATAAATTCAAAGGGTTATGTAAGGTTTAATGATCACACCAAACCTATGCAATTTTCTAAATTTGAATCAGATGAGGCCACCAATATAAGTAATGGTAAACAAGGTCATCAAAAGACAATGTCTGACAATTTATTTAGTCACTCCTCGGAAACCTAATTCCTGATTCCTATGAGTAAAGGCATTAGCTGAAATGTTGCAAGAGGACCTCAAATTCTAGGAATCTAACATATTGGAGAAGAACTGAGGCAGAGATTCTTCTTTGCTCAATAAAGCTATATTAAATAATTCTCATTTGCAGACAGTTTTTCTTGCTTTTTATGTCAAGCTTTCTCAGCTTAATTTAGCCTCATTAATTCCAACCAAATCTCCAGATGATCTCTAAGATGCCTTACAGCTTTAAAATCCCAAGATTCTACTAAATGCTTCCTTCCTAAACTTCTACAGACTTCTTAGCTCCTTCTCTGCAATTAATTCCTCCCCCTTCTGCCATCCATACCCCGTCATAGTCTATCAGCCAAGCAGTGAGAATATTCTGTTCTTTTTTATTTTTATTCTTATGTGTGAACCCTTATAATCACTTTCATGGCCCCTTATGAACTTGCTCTAGTTTGCCTACATTCTTTTGATAATGAGATGGCCAAGCCATACATAGTTGGGTAGTGAAGTACTGACAACATTTTGCTCAAGCAAGTATGTGGCAACAATGCTGCTGGGCAGACTAGGAGGCACGTGGCCACTGTTGACCATCTCACTAACTTAACACGCACAATGAGGCTTTATCAACAAGTTAGATGGTGTTCTTCTATGATTCATTTGCAACGACCTTTTCAGCCTTTTTATAATACATTCCCCCTTCTACATTATTATCAAAATATATTAACATGCTCTAAATCTTTGTCCAAGTTACTTCACCAATACAAATGATTAATTTAAGGCACATATCATTACATCTATTTTCAGCATTATTATCTTGAGAACAAAAATCAAAGGCCCTAAAGAATCCCAGTAAATAATTACCATATACTGTACTGTTTTCCCAATAACTTCATGTTATTTAAAAAATTATTAAACTCAAAAATGTATTGGCATAATTCACCATTTAGAAAATGAACTAATCAAATTGGCTTTTTATCTTCCTTCTTTTTTTTTTCTTTTTCTTTTGAGACAGGGTCTCACTGTGACACCCAGGCTGGAGTACAGTGGCAGGATCAGGGCTCACTGTAGCCTTGGACCTCCAGGGCTCAGGTGATCCTCCGACCTCAGCCTCCCAAAGAGCTGGGACTACAGGCACATGCTACCAGTCTGTGCTAAATTTTATTTTACTTTTGTAGAGCTGGGGTTTCACTATGTTGCCCAGGCTGGTCTTGAACTCCTGTCCTCAAGCAATCTGTCCTCCTTGGCCTCCCATAGTACTGGGATTACAGGTATGAGGCACGGCACCTGGCTTCAACTTCCAAACTTTCTTAACTCAATATTTTCTAGATCGAATAGCTCACTCTCTTCATTATGACTTCCCTAATGAACTCTACACATATTAAAATTAGGAGTCACTCTTTTAACTTTAAGAGAAAAAACAATGGCATACAATGAGACATAAAATCAATTCGTTTAACTGGAGTCTAGGAAAAAGTTTGTAATAGGGAGAAAATACTGAAAAAATAAAGTTAGTCTCCCTGCATGTGTTGCCCACTCACTCTTCATCTTCTTGGGTTGTAGCCTTTTGGTGAAGTGCCCAGACTTTGAGATTTTTCTCTTGCACATATGGAATGATAATCTTTATATTTTAAAAATGAACTCCAGAGATTTACATCCTTTGAAACTCATTCTAACCAAAGAAATGACTAAACATCTAGCCTAGAAAATGGTTGGATTTGAGATTTTTCTTTGCCATTGCTTCTTGCTTATATGACTGTTCTATTTCATTTTTCTATGGGGTAATGAAATAAATACGGAGTTTGAGATAAGAAGACCTGGGTTTGCTGTGCCTGTCATTTATTTATTTGGATTTCAGTGTTTTTAGCAATATAATGGAAATAATAAGAATAATGAAAAGCTATCACACAGTGTTGATGGAAAAATTAAAGTAAATAATGTCTGTCAAAACTTTTTGTAATTGCAAAAGAGTGTAACATGCTATAGCGTTAGTTCAAAATTAGTTCTGAGTTCTGGGTTATACCAGCGTCATCTTTCACCACATTTTTTCTATGTCTATTCATAGTTGTGAATATATCTGTAACAGTTTGCCTAGAAAAAATTCTATAAGAATCCACCTTTATTTCATTATATTCAAGGTCATACTACATTCAGGTTGAAACATCACTGACACTAGATTTTCATAAAGTCTAACCACATGGCTGTACAGCTTGGCCAGACTACCAAGGTTATTGACACATCAGAAATTTGTAATATGTCAGTTTCTAGCAATGGTGGCTGGGTTAGGTGAGGCAGGTGCCCTTCTCACTGGTCTCTTGTCCAACCCAAAAGAAATGTAATTAGTTTTTTCATTTCCTGTGAAATTACTTTGAATGTTGGTAAGTATCAGAGCACCTGGTATTGTGAATGCCTTTTTTTTCATTATAGCAGGAAGACAATATAGTTCTTTTTCATGAAGAAAAGTAATTTGAAAAAAATCTAGTATTTTGAAAACCTAGTAACTGGCTCTAGCTTTGAAAGCTAACAATGTCTCATTGACATATTCATCTTGATTCTGGTGGCATTACACACCAGAGCCCAGCTGGTTCCTGACCACCTATTGTGACCCAGCTTGATGTATGACCTCGCCTTGTATCCATCCTATCCGTAGATCATGATGACATATCCGATGGGTAAAGATCCTTTATGAATCTTATGACTTGAGCAAAACTGATTTGAATCACATGTACCAAACACGCTCCACAGAAAGGTCAAATTAAAAAATAGATATTCATTTTCCCAAAAGTGACTAAGGTAGAATATGACATTTAGAAGTTGTCACTTAGCCTTTTCACTATTTGACATAGTCTTAAGTCAGTGAAATGCTTTCATTTGCTACCTAGAGATCTTCACAAAGGAAAGAAAAGAGAACAACTTCAGAGAAGAAAGAATCTTAATATACTTTTGGGTGCAACTGGTGGAATTTGGTTCTTGGAGAAAAACAATCAACTATAATGAAAGAATAGAGAGAATGTTCCCTTCCACTATATAGATTCAGGCAAGGGCCATAAGCTGTTTGCATTTTGAAACCATATGAATTTATTCTAAACACTATGTCATGGTATGCATCTTGATTATGCATCAAAAATTAAAAGCCAATTGAAAGCTATACTCTGAAAGATAATCCAGCATGAAAAACAGCTTCCTTTGCGATACCCTGACCTCTTCAGCGACCATCCAAAGCATACAGGACAAGTCACCACACCCCCACTTAGAAAGCAGGATGTGCACTCTTTCTGACAAACCTTCAGAAGTAAAAAGCTGGTGGCATCACCCGGGCACTGACTTTAAATTGGTCATTTGTTACTCAGTCCGTTGTTCTATCATGCTTTATTTACTTAAGACTTAAGTAGTGCTGTCTAGGCTGTTCCTTGAGTCTGGAATGCCTTTCCAATATCCACTACCTTTTTGAGTCATTAATCCCTTGAAATCTTAAATCACTTCCTACCTCTTTCCCTAGGTTTCTCCTACCATCTCATGCAGTTGTAATCTCTACCCCTCAAGTTCAATTTCATCTACACTATTCTATCACTGCCATCCATTATATTGGAGAGATCTCCCCCTGTGCTCATGTAATTAAACAAATATCCACTCAACCTCCAGATTTCTGGATTGAAAGCTTCCTTTCTTTTTCTTTCTTCCTTCCTTCCCTCCCTTCCTTTCTCCTTCCCTCATTCATTTAGTGAATATTTATTGATGGGTGACTCTGTGCTAACCACAGTATGGTACCAGACACTGAAGATACAGTAATTAACCAAAGTCCCTCCCCTTATAGAGCTTATGTAGGGGTGTGTGTGTGTGTGTGTGTGTGTGTGTGTCTAGGAAATGATGAGACATTGACAGTCCAAGAAAATAACCATGGAAATATAAAGAAATGATACTATGTTAAATAGCGGTAGGTATCATAAATATGTAATGCAAACTGAGAAGAGAGGGAGGCTACTTTCAATATAGTGGTTTGAAATGGCCTCTTTGATGAAGTGACATTTGAGATGAGACCTAAATCACAGAAAGAAGCAACTCCAACTCCTGTGATCATCCAAGGAAGAAGTGTTCTATGTAGAGGGAACAGGTGGCACAAAACCCCCAGGGAAGAATGAGCTTGATGCGTTGACAGACAAAAAGGACAGTGTGGCTGGAGTGTGATGAGTGAGGAAGAGAGGTGTCCAGGAATAGGTTGGTGTGGCAGGTGGGTGAGGCAG
Source organism: Homo sapiens (assembly GCF_000001405.40). Classification (NCBI taxonomy): domain Eukaryota; kingdom Metazoa; phylum Chordata; class Mammalia; order Primates; family Hominidae; genus Homo; species Homo sapiens. Next base: position 12,797,655 of record NC_000006.12, on the reverse strand, counting down.
TCCAGAGTCTCCACCGGCCATGGGAGGGTGCAACTTACATGTGCTTTCCCCTATGCTCCCACTGTACTGGCTACCTCCTCCAGCAAAGCAGCTATCCTCCTGCATTATTGTTTATTTCCTTTTCCTCCTAGTCTGTAGGCTCCAAAATACTATGGAGAAGGTGCACAGGAATGACTGCTGGAAAGAAGTAACCGATGAGTTACCTTCCACTTGCATGTCCCATAGGTAGAGCCACTGCAATTATCAAACTCTGCAGGGTCAGTCAGTGACAAATGTACTGATGACCAGATTGAAAACTCAGTGGAAGTGCTTGCCTTTGAATCACTGCACAATATGCAGTCCGTGAATGTATGCCTTTTGGTTGTTGATCTTTGTTATAGAATCTTTTCCCTGGAGCCACTGGAAGCACTTGATTGCCCTTTAGCTGCTTGCAAGTGGACTGCTACAGAATTTGCAGTGGGGTTTTCATGTTATCAATCTGTCCCGCTTCATCTATTGTGCACACCTAGACTAGGCATCTCCATTACTCCTGGAAGGCCTCAGGTTTGGCAGGATCAGTTCTCTTCTCTCCAACTGGAGTCCTACATTATTCATATCCCTCTCTCTCTCTCTCTCACACACACACACACACACACACACACACACACTCCTAGGCTTCGGAGCTGGACACCCTGGGCCTAATGTCTGGCTCTTCCACTGACAAACTTTGTGTCCTTGAGCAAGTTTGTTAGCACATTTCTGAGTCTTAATTTTCTCTTCTGTAAAATGGAGGCGATAATAACTGCTCTTCAGTGTCAGCACACAGAGTGAGAATTTTACAAAAGTGTCCAGCACTTCCTCCGGAAATTAATGGGAAAAGATAGATATTAGTTGCTACTTTGTGTATCTGCTTATTCATTGCTATGGACTCTAGCTTTGGGGTTCTCCATTGTTCATCTGCCGTGTGGTCCAACAAAAGCTCTTTTCTGTGTGATGCTACCTTCATTTACTGCAAACCATATCTCCCACCTTACTTCTCTCCTTAAGTGTCTGCAGAGACTCTGCACACCAATGCCTAGCAGATATGTGGGGAATCCGACCATAAAATCAAAGATTAGAAATCAAATTGGTTATCAATTAAAGACCACAAGTCAAAAAATCAAGACATCCGAAGTCAAGCATTCATTTTGCAGAGGCATCTTAAAGACCCATCTTGCTGTGCATAGCATTACTATGCTGATATTCAGTTAACAGTCAGGATAAATACTGCTGCTGGTTCAGAGTCTGTACTGGGAACAAGGTCTCATGAAATACATAGCAATATAGCAGACAGTCTGGGGCATCAAGCAGTCTTCCAAGTAGCATGCCCTGGGAGAAATACTATGTTTTATTTCTCAAATTGTTTTCATTCAAATTGGGCATTATACATAATTGCTATAATACAAACAGCATGCCCATGCTTACGTAAGTCAAAGGGCACTCAAATATTGTAAAAGCAAATGCATATTTAGAAATGACAGCAATTAAATCTCCCTACCCTATATACCCCCAAATGTTATTCTTTTTCCTTCTTTCCCAAGTCTTTTCAACTTAACCTAGAAAAAAATAAAACAATTTCGTTGGTTTTGGCAAAGTTTCAGTATGCTACAGAGTTAAAATCTTTGGGTTCTAAAGGAACACAGATGTATATGTTGAAAATTTTCTAACTTAGAATATTAATTCTTTATTTACTTAAATTTACTGAAAGGCCAAGGGTCTTTAAGAAATTTTAAGAAAAGGAATTGATTCTTTTCTTAAAAATGTAAGGTCTGGCTAAGAGGAGACAGTATTCTATCAAGACTTCCCCTGAAGAAAATTTTCACTCTGTTCCAAAAAAGGTTAATACATTTGGCTAAGTTACCTAAGTATTTAAAAAGGGGAAGAATTAAAAAAAAAAAACAACTCAAAAACCATGATGTTGTTCCTTATATAGATCAACTGACCTCTCTCAAATTGTTTAATATGTATGGGCACAATGAAAAATTCACTGATTCTATTTCCATACCCTTCTCGCCCTCTCCTCTTCCCACATTGTTTGGTTGGATGTTACCTGACTCAAACAGTAGCACCTATTAATCATACATCCAACCTTCAGATGGCCAATTTTGTTACAGTCCTGTGGTTCCCAACTCATTGGTGAATCAAAATGTTCTTCCCCAGGAGCATTAAATCACAGGCACTTTGTGCTCAAAATGTCTTTATCCTTTTAACATAAATTAATGAGTTTCCTGGAAAGGTTAAAAAAAATGAAATGCAAGATAATGGTTGTCATTCACATCCTTAATTGACACAGCTAGTTACCCGAGAAGGGCAACTTCAATGTGGGGCTCATTGCCAAGAGTAGTTTACCTCTAGACTGCAAAGTACACATGTCATTTGTTTTCAGTGGGATTATTAACTAGAATTTCTCTCTTCTCTCTCTAGGAAATATCATCTTGTAAATTATTTCTTGGTTTTTATTCTAGATCCTTGCTACTCTAAGTGTGTGGTCCATGGATCAGTGGCATGAGCATCACCCAGGAGCTTGTTAGAAATATAGAACCCCTGGCTCCACCCCAGGCCTAGAAAATCAGAATCTGCATTTTAACAAGATCCTCAGATGAGTGATGTACACAGTAAATTTTAAGAAGAAGCAAGAGTCTGTCTAGGTCATTTGTGACAACCTCCTGAGTGATGGCCCCCTTCTCTCTTCACAGCCCCCTAGAGTGATCTCTGTCAAAAACAGATCTGGTCATCCATAACTCTTCCTACAATGCCCTCTGTCATCTGGCCCCTGCCTCCCCTCTACGTTCCCCACTCTCTCTAATCCCTATGCTGCTCACACTCACACCACTTACTCTACCTGTGCTGAGCAATATGGCAGCCACCAGACAAACAGTAGACACCACATGTGTCTGCTGAGCATTTGAAAGGTGGCCAGCATGAATTGAGACATGCTGGAGGTGGAAGACGCACATCGAATTTCAAGGACTTAGTATGGGGAAAAGAATGTAAAATACTTCTTGAAGTTTTTATGCCGATGACATGTTGAAATTATACTATTTTAGATATATATCAGGCTAAGTAAAATGTAGTATCAAAATTAATTCCAACTGTTCTCTTTTACTTTTTCTAATGTGGCTAGTCAAAAAGGTAAAGTTTCATGAATTTCTATTGCATAGGGCTGCTCTATGCCCAGCATATTCAGGCTCGTGATCTGTTTGGGCAGTTCCCTTGGTTTGGAATTACCCTCCTTACCCTGTCTGCCTGGCAAATTTCTTCCCCATCCAAGTACTTCCTCTGCTTTCCCTGGCACCTCCTTTCAGGAGAAAGCAAGGATACCCTTAACACTTCAGCAGTAACTCCACTGTATCTTTATAAAATGGTATCATAGTCACCTGTTCATAGTTTGATCTCTCTTACTAGATTAATTAATCTATGACTTAAAGGAAGAAGAAGGGGTCTCATATTTGAGGGCCTACTATGTGTGCAAAGTGCTAACAATTTTACAATGGATTATGTTCCATTTTGTTCTCATAAATAGGCCAAGTGGGTTGAGGCTCAGAAAGATTAACTTATTTTTCTAAGGTCACCCAGCTGCTAAGTGATTGAACCAGGATTTCAACTGAAAGCTCTCTGACTTTAAACTCTGCACCCATTGCATTTTATTTCTCTTTATAGCTCCAGGACTTAGCGGAGTGCCTGGCATTTTGTTGTTGCATAATAAATGCTTTTTGGATTAAATTTCTTTCTAGTTCACATGAATTCACACTATACTCTCACTCAGATTACTAGCTGCCATTGGGTAGTTTGAGAGGATGCTTTTGGAAAGTGATATTGATTACATTGGAAATCTGATGACTCATTAAAGAAAACAGAAACATGAGTCTATTTCAAAAGGCTGATTCAGACCATATATTTATCTATAGCCTTTGGAAAACAGAGTGTTATGGTTAAAACACCACTAATTTGAGAATCATAAATCCTGGATTCTGATGTGCATCCCACCACTAAATTCTACCACTAACTTTTAAAAGTCATTCTTCTTTTCTGAGTTTGGTTTCTTAATACAATCAGAGCTTACAGCACTAGGTATCTTCCAATTCAGAATTTTGCAAAAATTTTATTTTCTCTGTGATTTTGCATTTCCTTTCAAATCTTGAAGCATAAAGAACAACATCATTTATTAAATTTTCCTTTTGTTCACTTGATATACAAAAAGATGGAGAAAAAGGCACTAGGACAGAAATCTTGCAATATCCCATTCAGTTAAGACTTGTTCCTTGCCAAATAGCATTCTTCAAAAAATGCCAATTGGGAAAAAAATAACAAATCTGAATAAAGAAAAAATATGCAAAGCTTTGCATTTACAAGATTTTATAACCCAATAAAACTCAAGAATCGCTACTAGCGGGAGGGGTTGCCAACTCTCGCATAAGGGAAACACTCGACATTTGCTCAACTTTAATTCTGAAACACTCATAAAATACTGACCTAATAACTTCCCATTCAGAGCACTTGAGAAATACCACAGCAAAGAATAAAAACATTAATGTGAACGCTACTAATAATTGTCCTTTTATTTAATTCTAACAGGTGGTGAGGGTTGATCATGTCTTTAGGGGGAAAATGTAGCTTTGAAGATAAAATTAAAATGGCAAATCTCACGAACTTGACTGGGAGCAAGCAAAATGTAAAATCTAAGCAATGTCTCTGACTAGGAGGGAGCTTGCTGAAAATAGAAAGCCTGTAGGTGTAGTCAAGACAGAAATGCTTCAGAATTCCTTTGATGATTATTCCAAAAAAAAAAAAAAAAAAGCTTCTCTTTAAAGCACAAACATAGTGGGAAACATCAAGCTTGAAGAATCTACAGCTCTATTTAATATCACTTAATCTTGAATTCCATTTTAATGAAATCTAAAAAGCCTCAGAGTCCAAAAGACATACTAGGCCAAGTTAAATTTTCAGGATTTTGAACAAAAATTGGAAGATCATGATCACAGTGAAGTAGTTTCTAAGACACAAATAGCACTGAAATTTTCGCAACCCTGGACAGCTTGAAATGCATGGGCATGATTGTGAGGTCTATAGCACTGCATTTGAGTTTTTAGTAATAAAACCACTCTATATATTTTTATTTTTTCAGGATGATGTCAGAAATCTTCTTTTTTTTTTTTTTTTTTTTTTTTTTTTTGACATGGAGTTTTGCTCTTGTTGCCCAGGCTGGAGTACAATGGCGCAATCTCCGCTCACTGCAACCTCCGCCTCCCGGGTTCAAGTGATTCTCCTGTCTCAGCCTCCCAAGTAGCTGGGATTACAGGCATGTACCACCACGCCCGGCTAATTTTGTATTTTTGGTAGAGACGGGGTTTCTCCATGTTGGTCAGGCTGGTCTCGAACTCCCGACCTCAAGTGATCTGCCCACCTTGGCCTCCCAAAGTGGTGGGATTACAGGCATGAGCCACCGCGCCCGGCCCATTTTCTTAGTTCTAACCACAAACTATGGTGCAATTGCATTGATATATAATCATATACATATGAAAACACACACACACATATGCTTATGTCTACTTTCATATCCATACATATATACCTGCATGTATACTAACATCTTCTTTGGGATGCTGTTCAAATGTCACATTGTTGGGGCTGCCTTCCTTGACACCCTTTATTAGATATCACCCATTACTTTATATCCCTCTTGCTTTGCTTTATTTTCCTCCATGACTCTTAACACCAACCTCATATTATGAAACACATTATGTATTTACCGTCTGCTTTCCCCACTATGGTGCAACCCTCAGGCAAGCGGGGATTTTTTTCTGTCTTATTCATTGCTACACCTAGAACAAGATCTGGATGCAGAGGTGATCAGCAAGCATTCACTGAAAGAACAAACACTTAACGGCTGTTTATTTTGTGGTGGAACTGTGCTATTCATTCTACACACAGTCATTCATGGTCTCATATAATCTTCTGAATAAAAGTTGGTGCATTACTATATCCTTTTCAAAGGTGAGTCGTAGAGCAGTGAAGAAACTCTCTCAAGCATGAGGCTTCAAAGCCAGCCTGCCAGTGCATTTCACCACGCATCATTTCTGCCTCATTTCTCTGTCCTTTGCTAGGGTTAGTGAGTGTGCATCTCCTTTTGCTGAAGGACTGGCTTCTTCACTCTGAGGACACCATGCTCATACTTCACCGTAAGGCTTTGTTCCGGTCGTTTCATTGTGGAGTGGGATCAGTGACAAGTTCCTGGGGTATTATTCATCTCTGAACTATTGGGCTGATCTATTTCCTCCAGTATATTCCTCCATCCCAGGGCAGGAAATAGGAGCAAGGACCTCAGATGGGCTCCTTAGCAACTATAGATGAGAAGGCTGAAGGTTGAGATTGTTAATATCCTCATTCAAAAAACATGTCCATGTCCTCTAAAAACTTCTACCTGCTTCCTTCTCCTTCTGCAGACGGAAGCAGTCACACATTTTTCTGTGTTCCCATAGCATTTTGTATAAATCTCTGGGACATTTGTCTTTCCTATTATACAAAATTGCTTACATGACTGTCCTTATCCTGCCACCTCCCCTGTGTATCCCAATGCATGACATATAATTAGTGCTCAATGAATGTGGGTTGCATGATGACTGAATAGGATGTCTATCGTGTTTGCCTTCTCATTATTCATTCTGCCTTCTTTTAATAACAGCACACTGATTTTAAAGGGGGAAATTAGTCTTCCCCCATTTGATCCAATCTTGACAGAACTGTCAACCAAGTTGTCCCACCCACACATGGCCAAGGATCAGGCAGGTGACCAAGCTAAACCAGCAAGGCTCTCTTCCTGGAATTTCAACATCAAGCTGGATAAATCTCCTGATTTAGCCTGATGGAAGGGACCTACAGAGATGGATTCTAATCCTTTCCCAAACCTAGTTCTTCACTTTCCTTAAGATTCTCTGATCCATCCTATGTACTTCTAATAATATCCTCTTTTCCATAAATTGGCCATGATCAGTCTCTCTCCATTCACCAGCAAATATTTACTGAGCACTCACTATGTCATCTTGGTTACTGAACAAAACAGACAAGGATCACTGGTCTAAAGGAGCTTACATTTTATTAGGGAGATAGACAATGAACAATGCGAAAGCAAGAGGGCTGGGAATGGGTCAGTTTGCAATTTTAAATAGGGTGGTCAGAGGAGGCCTTACTTCTGCAAGAACTTGAGGGAGGAAAAGGAGTGAGTTACATGATACCTGGAAAAGAGCATTCCAGGCAGAGGGAACAAAAGTGAAAAGCCTCTAAGGCACCAGTGTCCCTGACGTGCTGGAGAAAAGGAAACAGGTCATTGTGGCCCATCAGGGTAAGTGAGCAGGGCAATTCTAGGGAATGCCATCAGAGAGGTTAATAAGCTCCTAGATTATGAAGGGCCTTGAGGTCATGTCAGGATTTTGGCTTTTACTCTAAGTGAAATTAGGAATTGACCAAGGGGTTTTTCACAGAGGAATGATATGACCTGCCTTTCATTTAAAAAGGATAGCTCTGGTTTCTGTTTTGAGAATAGATGTTGAGAAAAAAATGGAATGGAAAAAAGAAACAGGGACTTATTCAGAGGTTATCAGAGTAAACCAGGTTAGTGGCAATGGAGGTCGTAAGATGTGGTCAGAAACTGGAAATATTCTTAAGGAATAGCCAACAGAATTTCCAGATATAGGCAGTGAAAGAAAAAGAGGGAGGGGGGAGGGATAGCATTAGGAGATATACCTAATGCTAAATGACGAGTTGATGGGTGCAGCACACCAGCATGGCACATGTATACATATGTAACTAACCTGCACGTTGTGCACATGTACCCTAAAACTTAAAGTATAATAATAATAAAATAAAATAAAAAAATAAAAAATAAAAATAAAAAAAGAAAGAAAAAGAATAGTAGGGAAAGATTCCAAGTTTGTAGTCCAAGTACGCAGAAAGATGGAGTAGCCATCGACTGGGATGGGAAACCTGAGGGTGGGGCAAATTATGGTGGGAATGAAGAGTCCAGGTTAGGATGAGTGTTGGCCATTTGAGTGAGGATGTCAAAAAGGAGTCAGCTGTGTGAGTATAGAGTCTGGAAGAGTGTTATGGGCTCAGAATATAAATTTTGGAGTTGTCTCTTCATATATAGTATTTAAAAATCATAATAGCAATTGAGATCATTGAGGGAGTTGGTATGGATGGAGGAGATGAGAGAACCACGGACCTGGCCTTGAGATACTCCAATGTTAAAAAAAAATCAGGGATAGGATGAGGACTGTGAGAGGGGACTTGGAATAAGTAATCGATGGCTTGAGAGAATCTAACAGAGGGGGCTGTCCTGGAAACCAGGCACACAAGGAAGGTTTACCAATGGGGTAGAGAGAGGGTCTGTAGTACAAAATGTTGCTGACCAGCCAAGTAAGATGAGGTGTGAAAATTTCACTTTAGATTTAATAGCATGGAAGTAAGTCATTAGTGATCTCAGCAAAATCAGTGTCAGGGAAGTGGGAAAACAAACACCTAAACCTGGGTGATTCAAGAGGAAACGAGAGCAGAGGCATTGTGCGCAAAACTGACATACAAAAGAAGAACAAAGAAATGGTGGTTATATCATCCAAATGACCTCAGCTGATGCAAATGCCTTACATTCATTTCTCCTGGAATGATTTCTTCCTTTCTTCTCCGAATACTCTCTCTACTTCAGCTCCTACCTTCCTTTCAAAGTCTAACTCACATTATTCCTCTCATCTTGCAATGTTTGCATTGGCATTTATTTCCTATGCCTTCAAGTCTTCAATGCAGAATTTAATCAAATCTGCCTCCTCTTGTTACTTTAGGGTTCTCTTACGTATCTTATCTCCCTCCAGAATTATTAGCTCCTAGAAGGCAGAGGCAATGATTTAGATTTCTTTTGTGTTCTTAGAAATGATCACTAGAATATTCTGGGCACAATGGGCACCCAGACAAGGCCTTGGCCACTTTTCTCTGTCAGATTTATGGATATCCTTAAATAAATTAACTAATTTCTCACTTTATTAATATTTTGATAGGTAAGGATAATAACAACTATTGCAAAATTAATGTTGGAATCTTTTTCCATCTAAAAATCAGAACAGTGAATCAAGGTGAAATAAAATTTTACAGCCCAATATATTCTCAGTGTCCTGATGAATTTATTCTCATTTATTATATTTCGTTCCTCTCCATCACCTATGAGGTCCTCATTAAAAATAGGTGATTTTGTATATCATCACTAAGTCATTCAAAATCCTTAGAAATAACTCTGATAAGATAATATTTCTCTCCTGACCATGGCCTCTAGATTTTCATTTCTGCAAAGCAAAGCCCTCATCTCGCTAAGTGGTAGAAATTGGAAATATCACCACTTAGTTACATCAGCTGATGAGGTAGGGAACTTGGGGAGGGAAGCGTGGGTCTGTGGTGCTCAGTTTCCTTTGTTGAGGTGTTTTTTTTTTTTTTTAATTTGAGATTGAGTCTCATTCTGTCACCCAGGCTGGAGTGCAGTGGCGTGATCTTGGCTCACTGCAACCTCTGCTGCCCAGACTCACGCTATCCTCCTGCCTCAGCCTACCGAGTAGCTGGGACTACAGGCGAGTGCTCCAACGCCTGGCTGATTTTTCTATTTTTTACTAGAGACAGGGTTTCGCCATGTTGGCCAGGCTGGTCTCGTACTCCTGACCTCAGGTGATCCGCCAGCCTCATCCTCCCAAAGTGCTGGGATTATAGGCATGAGCCACCGTGCCTGGCCTCCTTTGTTGAGTTTGCCTAAGGCTGTTAGGTATGGCCCCAAGTGCCCTCTGGAATAGCAGAGCTTGGGTTGGGGCAGAAGTTGCTACCATGGTCTCTACAATTTGCCACCGTACTCATCCTGAGAGGCTGGTTCAGAATCTAGGAGGGTCACTCTGGACAGGTAGCACAATTAAGAAAGGTCCCGGGAACCTGTTGGGTCAGCACACCAGCTTTGGCCTTCCAGAATCCCTCCAAGAGCAGGAGCTCAACTGCAAATCAGAGCCACACTGAGCTTTCCCCCATAGTCTCCCTAACTTTTGTCAAAAGGCAAGTTGGAATAAACTCCCAGAATCTACCTCTGACTGTTCTTTTGATCAGCATCCCGGGAAACCATTTGCTCAGGACACATCAGAACTTTTCCAATCTTGGCCTCGAAGATATAAGATTTGCCACACAAAAGAGACTTACGCCTTTCACACTCAAGTCATGGGAAGATATTGTTGTCTTTTTCTATGGGAGTATTTTTCTATGGATAGGGTTTAACTGTGTGGCACTGAAGTAAATATTCAAAATGCCTATGCTTTACACTTGCTTTTAATCTCATACCTACTTGGCTCTAAC